>NC_000017.11:9430504-9582020 GCF_000001405.40 Homo sapiens
TGAATGTCTTCCAGGTTCATATATGTAATCGCATATATCAAAACTTCATTCTTTTTATGGCTGAATAATAGACCATTTTAAGTACATACTACAACTTGTTTACACATTCATCTGTTGACGGACAGTTGGGCTCAGTGGTTTTGGCTTTTTTTTTTTTTTTTTTGAGACAGAGTCTCGCTCTGTTGCCCAGGATGGAGTGCAGTGGCGTGATCTTGGCTCACTGCAACCTCTGCCTCCCAGGCTCAAGTGATTCTCCTGCCTCAACCTCCCAAGTAGCTGGGACTACAGGCGACCGCCACCATGCCTGGCTAATTTTTTGTATTTTTAGTAGAGACGGGATTTCACCATGTTAGCCAGGATGGTCTCAATCTCCTGACCTCGTGATCCACCCGCCTCGGCCTCCCAAAGTGCTGGGATTACAGGCGTGAGCCACTGCCCCCGGCCTTTGGCTTGTTTTTTAATAAATCATGAGTTGCTGAGCATCTCATTGGGTAGCAGGGGTTTTTTTGTTGTTGTTGTTTTGGTTTTTTTTTAGTAGAGATGGGGTTTCACCATGTTGGCCAGGATGGTCTCCATCTCCTGACCTCGTGATCCACCTGCCTTGGTCTCCCAAAGTGCTGGGATTACAGGTGTAAGCCACTGCGCCCAGCCTTTGGCTTGTTTTTTAATAAACCATGAGTTGCTGAGCATCTCATTGGGTAGTAGCATTTTTGTTGTTGTTGTTTTATTTTTCTGTTTTTTTTTTTAGTAGAGATGGGGTATCACCATGTTGGCCAGGATGGTCTCGATCTCCTGACCTCGTGATCCACCTGCCTCGGCCTCCCAAAGTGCTGGGATTACAGGTGTGAGCCACTGCGCCTGGCCTTTGGCTCATTTTTTAATAAATTATGAGTTGCTGAGCATCTCATTGGGTAGCAGGGTTTTTGTTGTTGTTGTTGTTGTTGTTTTGTTTTTTTTGTTTTTTTGTTTTTTAGTAGAGATGGGGTTTCACCATGTTGGCCAGGATGGTCTCGATCTCTTGACCTTGTGATCCACCTGCCTCGGCCTCTGAAAGTGCTGGGATTACAGGCGTGAGCCACCGCGGCTGGCCAAGGGCAGCAGGTTTAAAGGAAGAGAGAACACAGTCATGACACTGGTGCTGTGGCTGAATTCTAGAAGGTAGTCCTCTTCCCAATTTTACTAACTGAGAAAAGTAACAAGGTAAGGCTCACTTGTTTAAGAACAGCAGGTTAGCAACAACATAGTGCCAAACGTTCTGACATTAACATCATGGTGTTAAGACCACGAGTGCTGTACTGTCTCCAAATACAGGTCAAGGCTATGCTTGCAGAGCTTTCCCAGAAACCTCCCTTCCTTTTCCTTTCTGAAGTCAGAGTGTTCCTAGGACAACATTTTGGTTCATAAAACATTTTGTAATGCTGTGACTATCTCAGCATACAGGATACCCCTCTCACTTCAATCTCCTTGTTTTCTAATAAAATCAAACATTTCAAAAATGGCATTAATGTAATGGATGAAAGAGTTACACTTCACCATCATTTTAAGTTAAAAAGAAGTATTTGAAAAAATAAATTCTGATTCTAATGCTCGTTCTTGAAAGTTTGCTTCAAGCAGGAAAACAACTGCTTTTCAGATTCTCTTTTTCACCTGGCTTTTTTTTTTAAGTTCTTAAGTAAAAATAAAAAAGTTCCAATTGATTTTGTAAGTTTTGTGATGGTAAAACAAGATGTGGAGCAAACATTTCAGAATACCAAACAGAGTTAATTAATTCCAGTATAAGCTCCTCACATACGGCCAGAGCTTGCAAGCAGATGTGCTGGCTAAATATCTCAGGTCAATCTTAGCACATTATTGAAAGTAACCTCCCATTCCTCAGAAAAGTCTGGCCTGCAGCTTACAAACTAGAGCAAACAACTTAGACACATGGAAAAGTAGAATTTAACATCTCCCGATTTCCACTCTCCATTTATTTCCAAACCTTCCATCTAAATCGGAAGAAAAAAAAAATGCCCTCTAGTCACACATAGGCCACACTAAAGTATTAGCCACTAAAATAAAAGATGAGGAAGCAATTTTAAATGCAGTCACCACAAATGTGTTTTGGGAACTTTCACCTTGTCTCTCATAAACTAGAAAGTGTACTTCATGTTCCTTTTGGTTTCGAATGAGCAAGGCATTTCAACTATTAACATTTCATTTCCACCACGTGTCTGTTTCAGAGCTAGCAGCTGGCCTATTTATTTTGCTAGCTGGTGATAGAATTAAATACAGAGTCTTTGAAAACATTTACAAGCTTTCCCTCTAACCTTCTGTGTACTTTCCAAATTAGGCTACTTTGATTGTTATTAGCTAAAGGTTTACGTACTGGAATACTAACACTGTTACCTTCAGAGTAAATTGTTTATAGCTCAGGTGCAGTTTAGAACATTTTCCTCCATGGAATACTCTTGAGATTGAGGAGAAGAAAGTTGAACTGGTTCACTCTGGATCAACAAGTTTCCTTTGTGAGTCAAACAATATTAAGGCCACACAGATATGGATGCAGTCAGGGAAACCAGTTGTGAAAATAGTTCTAGTCCTCTACAAAACCACAGGCTTCCTTTGTGAGCTCCCAAATGCTTTATAATCTCAAAATCACCATCGTCATAATGCACTCCTAAGATTTATTCTTTGACACTAGCGTTTTGATGTGGAAGACAAGGCATACGCCTGGACCCCAGGCCAGTGTGGGTTCAAATCACGTCTCCTTCACTTATGATGAGCTAGACGGTCTTAACCAAATAACCCAAGTCTTTAGTTTCAAAATCAGCAAAACGGAAATAGTAATTTCCACTTCATAGCTTTGTCGTGAGCACTTGCATTGCACAGATGCTCAATTAGTGGTTTGGGATGAAATCAAAGATCCTTCATCACTATAAGCTTTTCTCAATCTCTTCGGCCCACAATATCACTCATGAAAAGCATCCATTCATTCTTTCATTCAGTCAAAAACTACCTATTGGCCCTACTGGAGATAAGAAGTTCCTCCTCCATAGATTGTGATGATGGTTTCATGGATGTACACCTATCTCCAAACTCATCATGTTGTAGGCATTAAATATTACCATTTTTTGTATGTGGGGGAAAAAAGAATGGGAAAAAATGTGGCCCCTTCTCTTAAGGAATACACAGAGTACTTCAGGGGGTCACAGATATTAAAACGGGGGAAGGGAGGGTGGGAATCCAAAAGAGTGAAAACTCTAGCTGCTCCACAGAGTATTGTGAGGACCCAGAGAAATGGGCCAACTCTTCCTAGGAAAGTGAGGAAGAGTTTAATGGGGAAGATGATATTTGAACTACGGTTGTGTGTGTCTTTTAGGTAAGAAAGATGCTCTTCTTGAGCATCATAAGCAAGGAGAACAGCACAGAAGAAGGTAAGGAGTGGTGAGATGGATTGCTGTAGTCAGTGCAGCTACAGAAGAGATGATGCTGCCTAGGGGGTAAAACGGGCTTTAGTATGTCAGGATCTTTTTTTTTTGAGACGGAGGCTCACTCTATCGCCTAGGCTGGAGTGCACTGGCGCAATCTCGGCTCACTGCAACCTCCGCCTCCCAGGTTCAAGCAATTCTCCTGCCTCAGCCTCCTGAGTAGCTGGGATTACAGACAGGTGCTACCATGCCCGGCTAATTTTTTGTATTTTTAGTACAGACAGGGTTTCACCATATTAGCCAGGAGGGTCTCGATCTCTGGACCTCGTGATCCGCCGGCCTCAGCCTCCCAAAGTGCTGGGATTACAGGCGTGAGCCACTGCGCCCAGCCAGTATGTCAGGATCTTAAAGTTGCTATTTCATCCTCAATGTGACAAGAAGCCACTAGAGGATTTTAGCATGAAAACAACACAATCAGATTTGTTTTTAAGAAACTAATTGCGTTAGCAGAGGGGAAGACAGAGTGGAACACTAAAGGACTTGTGGCAGGAAACCCAGCTAGGTATAGCCATAGTTCCAAGGCAGAGAAGACAGGGTCTGGGATCAAAGCAAATTAAGGCAGCAGAGGTGGGAAGAAAAATGTGAGAGACAGTTTCAGAGGTGAAATCAACTGAATTCAGTGACTGGCTGCAGATGTCTAACTGATATAGGGCAGGCAGGCTTAGCCTGGGAGGGTTCTTGGCTTCACCCAGGAAAGAATTCAAGGGTGAGCCAGAGGTGAGCGGCAGTGTGCAGCAGAGGTACTGTTCCTTGTAGAGCAGGGCTAACTCATAGGCAGTGTGTCCAGAGCAGCAGCATATGGGCTGTTGGCTAGCTGTATTTATATCTACTTTTAGTTGCATGCAAATGAAGAGGTGGGTTATTTAGACCTTTTAGAAAAGGGGTGGGGCATTTCTAGATGCATAGAAGATAACTTTCAGGTCATTCCCATGGCATGTTGCCACGGCATTTGTAAACTGCCATGGCACTGCTGGGAGTGCCTTTATGTTAATGAGCAGTGAGGGCAACTGGAGGTCACTTTCATCACCATTTGCTGGTTTCAGCTGGCTTCTTCACTGCACGCCCTGTTTTGACCACATCTTTCTCCAATCAGTGGGTTGTGACTGGTGCTCAGAAAACAAGTCCTGCTGATCTCCTACCTCATAACCTTGAAAATAAGTTGGAGGGTGACACTAATAACCAAGATAAAGAACAAAAGGAATGGAACAGGTTTGTGGGGAAAGATACTGAGCCGTGTTTTAGACATGTTGCATTTGAAGGACCGTTCAGGTGAAGATGCTGAGTAAAGTTGGAAATATGGATCTAGGAATGTAGAAAAGTACAGATTGAAACGTTAACATCTAAAAAAGGCTAGAGCACAGGAGATTAGGATAAGCATTAGCCATTATGAACAGGAGAGGACCCCAATAAGAGCATGCAGAGTGAGAGAGACCCAAAGACAGAACCCTGAAGAGTCCAGGATTCAAGTGATGTTCACCCATATACGTCAGTTTCTGCTTAACGATATGCATGCTGACTTTCATCGTTACTTATCTGGATTGTGAAAACATGCCCTGTTTCCCCAGACAAATTAAAAACATAAGGCTTTATACCCACTGCTTAAAGAGCACCTAGAACCATAATAGGTAAATAGAAGATATATGTGGAATTGAAATAGAGGAAACTTACATGGAGTAGAAGAAAACGAGCGTTCGATTAAAGAGGGCCTTTAGTAACAGCCTAAGGAATTTTAACTTCATCCTTTAGATAATAAGAAAACAACCAGAGTTTTTTGAGCATCAAATCGTGTCACAAGAACAGTATTTTCAAAGGTTTAAGTATATGAGGTAACATATATGTTAACTATCTCCATTTATTCATTCTACAATGTATATATATTTCAAACAATATATTTTACCTAATAATAATTTTTGTCAATTTAAAAAATTTTAAAAACAAAAGAGTGGTATATGGAGGGATGAGAGAAAAACAGACTCTGCAGGGAAGGAATCCGTTACAGTCTGACTGTGGGAATCAAGCCACTGGTTCTCAGGCAAGCTACAGCCAAAAGGGATATAATCCATCTAGCTAAATGAATGAAACAACATACGTGGGTCCTGAAATGTTTTTCTTAAAATGTACCCCACCTTGGCTGGGCGCCGTGGCTCACGAGGTCAGGTGATCGAGACCATCCTGACTAACACGGTGAAACCCCGTCTCTACTAAAAATACAAAAAAAAAAAAAATAGCTGGGAGTGGTGACGGGCGCCTGTAGTCCCAGCTACTTGGGGGGCTGAGGCAGGAGAATGGCATGAACCCGGGAGGCGGAGCTTGCAGTGAGTTGAGATCGTGCCACTGCGCTCCAGCTTGGGCGCAACAGAGCAAGCCTCCATCGCAAAAAAAAAAAAAAAGTACCCTACCTTTGACTTGCCAAAAGAGAGATAACCATAATAAACCCAAAGACTCCATGAAAGGCAAGTCAGAAGTGGGCACGTAGAATGGGGAAAGTACACTAGGGTCTCTGGGCATCTAAAATGATTCTGATTTTGAAAAATATCAATACACAAAAATACTGGTGAGGGTAAGATGGCCAACACGCTTCGGACAGATCACAGACACTTTGACCTACTTGGGTTTTAATCATTCAGGATAACAATTACGACCACGATCAACATAACATGGTGGATGATGAAGAGCTGGCTGAAAACATCTGAAAGAGCTGGCTGAAAACATCTGAAAGAGCTGAAAGATGTTTGGCCTGTATCAATGTGGCCCAGCTCTGGGATGTAGGGATCTAGGCAGATTTACAAAATAAAAAGCAGCATTGTTTGTCTGCTGCCTCCCACCATCTGTTCTTGCCCCAGGTTAGTGGAATGAAACAAACTCTCTGGGCAAGATATTGACTCACATTTTTCAAACGCTGACTCCTGGTTTGGATACAGAGCTGAGGTCAGAATTCTTAGGTCCTTTTCCAGCCAAGCTGATTTTAGGACAGGCAAGCAATCACAAAATACTCTTCTGTGCAATAAATATGAAAATACTTAACCTCCTTAGGGTATTATGAAGCATAAATCATGCCTTTAAAAGCCTGTGACAAGCTGAAATGAAAAGCGTTCAAAGTGGAGAAATACAATGAAACCACGACTATAAGCACTCACTGAATTTTGAGCAGACAGTTGTACTATTAATTTAATGAGGTTTATGGTTTTAAAAGTATTCATCAATAGCAAATATCGCGTTGCTTAAATATTCCATTACTCGATCATCTGTCTAAATGCGCTCTGGTCTCCAACATTGATTGGCTTGCTCAAAATGGCTAGTTTCTTTCTCTCTTTTCTTTCCCCACCAAAAGTACTGCTTAAAGGAGCCATTAACAAGAGGATTCACTCGTCAGGGCTACAATGACTTGCAGCTGGAAGATCCACCTACAAATATACATCCATTCATAAGGCTGATACAACAGCTTTCAGGGAGGGGATGTGCATGAAATGGACACAAGCGAAGAGTAACAATGGCAGGGATTATCTTTTAACTGGCTCATGAGTGAAAAAATGAAATTGCAGACGTCTGACAACTGTAGCTTTTTCAGTCAGTACAAATTAAATTATAAACCTACAGCTACACATTTACTCTTTATGAGTTGATTTCATGTTAGGCCTCAATAGTTACTTATTCCTGGTACAAACGTAAACCAGCAGTTGTGCCATTTAAGAGATTAGTTCAATTAATACTGTCCCTGCTAGGCTAGGCCTTATATCTATAAGCAATTCAGTGTCTGGCTTGCTAATTCATACTCTCACTTTGCCTTTTCTTTGTCAGTCAAAGAAATTAAGCTGGAGATCTCACCAGGCCGGCCACTTTCCCAGTCTCTTAGACGCCTCTGTTTGCGGCCATTGCAGTGATTCCATGATGAATTTCAATCATTAGAAAGTTCTTCCTAAGGTAAAAAGCAGAGCTGGAATCAACTGGTACTTATTCTGGCCTTTGAAATAAGGTATAAAAAGCCCATTTCTCGCTGGGTGCGGTGGGCTCATGCCTGTAATCCCAGTACTTTGGGAGGCCGAGGTGGGCAGATCACGAGGTCAGGAGTTTGAGACCAGCCTGGCCAACATGGTGAAACCCCAACTCTAAAAATACAAAAAATTAGCCAGGCATGGTGGCACACACCTGTTGTCCCAGCTACTCAGAAGGCTGAGGCAGAAGAATTGCTTGAACCCGGGAGGCGGAGGTTGCAGTGAGCCGAGATTGTGCCACTGTACTCCAGCCTGGGTGAGAGTGAGACTCCATCTCAAAAAAAAAAAAAAAAAAAGGCCATTTCTACTGTAAAACATTTGATCATCTCTCCTCTACAACACACTACCCCCCTCCCCCACCCACCTCTTAAATATCGTATAAATGCAAGTGTGCGCCAAGGACCAGCAACTCTGGCATCGTCTGAGAGCTGGTCAGAAGTGCTGACTCTCAGGTCCCACCTTGGCCCTCCTGAACCAGTATCTGTCTTTTAACAAGATCCCCAGGTAATTCATTGGCACACTAAGGTTTGGGAAACACGGCTTTAGACCAGTGGTTGGTAAACATTTTCTGCAATGGGCCAGGTGGTAAATATTTTAGGTTTTGTAGGCCATACGTCTCTGTTGCAACTACTCAAAACTGCTGTTGCGGTGCAAAAGCAACCATACATAACACACAGTCAAACAGCCGGGCGTGGTGGCTCACGTCTGTAATCCCAGCACTTTGGGAGGCCGAGGCAGGTGGATCACAAGGTCAGGAGATCGAGACCATCCTGGCTAACACGGTGAAACCCCCGTCTCTATTAAAAATACAAAAAATTAGCCGGGCGGTGGTGGTGGCGCCTGTAGTCCCAGCTACTCAGGAGGCTGAGGCAGGAGAACAGCATGAACCCGGGAGGCGGAGCTTGCAGTGAGCTGAGATCACGCCACTGCACTCCAGCCTAGGTGACAGAGCGAGACTCCATCTCAAAAAAACAAAAAACAACAACAAAAAAAACCATAGTCAAACAAACATGGCTGGTTTTTGTTTGTTTTGCTTTTACAAAAAGTTTTATGGACACTAAGGTTTGGATTTCATATAATTTTCATGTGTCACAAAATAGCTTTTGATTTTTTTTCAACCATTTAAAAATATAAATGCCATTCTTGGCTCATGACCTGTACAAAAACGGGATAAACCATAGCTTGCTGATCCTAGCTCTATACTCTGGCACTTCACATGATATCATTTGCTGGTTTCACCTGGGCCTGGTCCCAATTCTAGATAAGGTATTCCAGTTCATTAATGCAGCATGCATAACTGAATCAAACAAAACAGATGAATTTTTAACAGTACTGAGCAGAGCAAGACCATTATTTCTCATGATTTGAACATAGCATTTGTTTTGGTGAAGACCAATGCCTAACAAAACACTTATTTTAATGTAGCAGCATACAATGTGGCTGGACATTTGTAAACAATTAAAAAATTGATATCAGTTTGCAAAATTTACTTATATCTTCAATAGTCATATCTTCTCCACACTATAATAACTAATTGTTATGATCACTACTGTACTTACTGCCATATAATTTTTTTTTTTTTTTTGCGGTGGTGTGATCTTGGCTCACTGCAACCTCTGCCTCCCAGGTTCAAGTGATTCTCCTGCCTCAGCCTCCCGAGCAGCTGGGACTACAGGTGCGTGCCACCATGCCCAGCTAATTTTTGTCTTTTTAGTAGAGATGGGGTTTCACCATGTTGGCCAGGATGGTCTCAATCTGCTGACCTTGTGATCTGCCTGCCTCGGCCTCTCAAAGTGCTGGGATTACAGGCGTGAGTGAGCCACTGCACCTGGCCAAATTTTGCAATTTTTTAATCAGGAAAGCACCATCAATACTGCTTCCTGGTGGGGTGAGGAGGAAGTCTGGAGCTGGAACACATTCCCACACATTACCATTTTTTCCTTTTCAATTCTCACCCCAAAAGTACCCCCGGCATATAGGGAAAATAAAAAGACGCATGGCAAAGGGTATTCTGCAATTAAGTTCCTCTCCACATGGGATTGTTCAAACCTTGGTCAGGATGGACAGGGGAAATTTGCAGCCTAAATATAGTGGTGGCATAAAGTAGGTCATTTCCAGAACCATGGAAAATACCACTGGGAAAAGGGCAAAAGGAAGGAAGTCATAAAGAAGAGTTGACAATTATTTCTATAATGGTTTCCAATCTGGATACTCCCTTACAGCCTATTTAAGAAACATGGAATCGGATGATTTGAAACATATTTCCTAACTCTAAAATTTGGAGATTTGTTATTAGTACCATTACCTACCTAGTTATATGTGCTCAAAGGCTGGGAATCCTCTCTGATTCATCCCTTCCACTTGGATTTCCCTTCAGATCCATCCCCCAAACCTGCCGATTCCTCCTTTATAATCCCTCTCAAATGTGTCCCCTGCTTTTCATTCTCATTGTCACCATCTTAGTTAACACTTCACCCCCAATTTACTGCAGTTATCTCCATTGGTCAATGACGTCCATGATGTTTCACATTATTGCCCAATACAATCATAGTGAATCAATGATTTTTTTTTTTTTTTTTGAGACGGAGTCTCGCTCTGTCACCCAGGGTGGAGTGCAGTGGTGCGATCTCGGCTCACTGCAACCTCCGCCTCCTGGGTTCAAGCGATTCTCCCACCTCAGCCTCCTGAGTAGCTGGGATTGCAGGCGTGGACCACCACGCTCAGCTAATTTTTGTATTTTTAGTAGAGACAGGGTTTTGCCATGTTGGCCAGGCTGGTCTCAAACTCCTGACCTAAGGTGATCCACCCGCCTCGGCCTCCCAAAGTGCTGGGATTACAGGCGTGAGCCACCGCATCCAGCCTGATTTTTTTTTAAACCACAGTTACTGTCATTTTGAACAGTCTTCAGTAATTTCCCAACACTTGAAATGCCGGCTCCATATCCTACAAGCATTTCAGTTTCCCCAAAGCTATCACCCACTCCTCCTTCGCTTCACCATGGCTGGCCTCCTCTCCATCTCCAGCTCCCAGGGGTTGACTCCACTCCTGTGCCTCATCCTTTCTCACATGCTTCCTTCATCACCTCCAAACTGGAGTTAACATTTCAAACTCAGGCCAAATGAGAGGCGTGAAGATGTACTCAAATAATTACTAATCCTGAGTATGAAGGGGCAAATGCTAAGATGAATACAACATAATGCAAAAAGATTAAAATGAGACAGGACCTTTAGAAATTTAGTCAAATACGGCTGGGCACGGTGGCTCACACCTGTAATCCCAGCACTTTGGGAGGCCAAGGCGGGCGGATCACGAGGTTGGGAGATCAAAACCATCCTGGCCAACATGATGAAACCCTGTCTCTACTAAAAATACAAAAATTAGCCGTGTGTGGTGGCATGCACCTGTAGTCCCAGCTACTTGGGAGGCTGAGGCTGGAGAATCACTTGAACCCAGGAGGCAGAGGTGGCAGTGAGCCGATGTTGCACCACTGCACTCCAACCTGGCACAGAGCGAGACTCCATCTAAAAAAAAAAAAAAAAGAAACTGAGTCAAATATCCTTATATCCTTTGACCTTGTTAATCACACTCCTGATCGTCCTCATTCTTTTCTGACTGCTACTTCACAACACCCTTCCTGTAAATAATGGGGCTCCCCAAGGCGCTGCCCTAAGACGCTGAGCTCTTCTCCATCTATGCTCAGCACCATGGCTTTTTTTTTTTTTTTTTTTTTTGAGACGGAGTCTCGCTCTGTGCCAAGGCTGGAGTGCAGTGGCGCGATCTCAGCTCACGGCAAGCTCCGCCTCCCGGGTTCACACCATTCTCCTGCCTCAGCCTCCCAAGTAGCTGGGACTACAGGCGCCCACCACCACGCCCGGCTAATTTTTTGTATTTTTAGTAGAGACGGGGTTTCACCGTGTTAGCCAGGATGGTCTCAATCTCCTGACCTCGTGATCCGCCCACCTCGGCCTCCCAAAGTGCTGGGATTACATACCGCGCCTGGCACCATGGCTTTGATTACCATCCACAGGCTGACTCTCAGATCTAAAATTCCAGTTTATAGGTCTCCCCTGAGCTCCAGATTCAAAAGCAGCATACTATTTCTGACACACCTAAGCTGAGAGCACCCCACGTGTCTTCGAACTCAGTGTCTTCTCACTTTACCGCCACACACGTTTTTCTTCCTGTGTGCCCTATGGCAGTCAAGGCCATTGTCATCTATGCAGCTGCCTGAGGCAGAACCCAATCAATCACTGGTCCTACTACTTTTAAAACCTCCCCTCCATCCATCCACTTCTCTCCCTATCTTCTCATCCTAACCACTCCAGTCTAGGCCAACATCATGTCATGACTGAACTACTTCAAGCCACCTCCTGACTGGTTTCCCTGTCTACCATCCCAACCCCGCTCCTATCCATCATCTACATTACTCCCAAGCCATAGTTTCTTTCTTTTAAGATGGAGTCTCACTCTGTCACCCAGGCTGGAGTGCAGTGTTGCAGTCTCAGTGATCTCAGCTCACCGCAACCTCCGCCTCCTGGGTTCCAGTGATTCTCCTGCCTCAGCCTCTCAAGTAGCTGGGATTATAGGCATGTGCCACCACGCCTGGCTAATTTTTTGTATTTTTTGTAGAGACGGGGTTTCACCATGTTGGCCAGGCTGGTCTCAAACTCCTGACCTCATGGGATTTGCCCAACTCGACCTCCCAAAGCGCTGGGATTACAGGAACAAGCCACTGTGCCCGGCCTGTATCTTCTTTATTGAAACTTTAGTGGTCACCTTGGAGCAAAAGAAGTGAATAGTGGAGGTCCCAAATTACAGCACTGAGGGGCAAGCATTGTCTCCAGGTGGTATAGATGAGTAGCAGTGGTGTGGTATATTATTAGCAGCCAGACTCCTAAGAACGTGTGAGATATCCTCTTGGGACTCATTAAAACATTTAGAGAGGGGAGTCAGTCAGGTATGGATGATAATGTTAATATGGCCTCAGAGGCATCAACGTAATGCATTTATAGTCAAAAGCTGATGAAATGTGGAGACATTCTGGTTATAGATTGAACTAAGATAATCTCATAGATAAAGGGGCTACAGGGTGCTATGGAGAGTTGCTCAGATGTTTGGAAGATACTAGTCATCATGGCAGTTAACATCAAAGAAGATAATCATGCCCTTCTGTAATGTGTCCTCCTTGCAGGTTACCTTCAAACACAGGCTTGGGAATGTGGAGGATCATATATCCAAAAGGGCAACCACCACTATTCTTAGGAGTTGCTAATCTTCACGTTTGGAGCTGAATGATTAAATCAACTACTGAAAGCAGCCATAGGGCCTTCAACTCTTTTCTCTTTCCCAGAACAGAACTAGAGTCACTCATTCATTAAGCATCTACAATGTACCTACTATATGTAAGGGAGAGCACAAAGATAGACCACACACAGTCCGCATCCCCAAGGAAATTTAAATTAAGCAATGTGGGACAGTCTGTTGCGAGTTCATGTGGTATGATATTGGAGGGTACCACTAAGCTCACCTAATAACTGCTTCTTAACAAAGAAATCCCTTCTAGGGCTCCCCCGAGCCACAGAGCCATTCCCCTTGAGCCATAGAGCCACACAGAGCCACTCCCTTGAGCCACAGAACCACAGTCATTGTCCAACTGTGCAATAATCTGAGGCCAAGGTAATTTCCAACCCTCCTTTTCCAGAGTTCTCTTCTTCCTAACTCATTTATATTATTTCTACTGGCTCCTCTGTGGGTCTGGAACCCCTACTCTTCTCTAAGGAGAAATGAGGAACCCCACCTACCATAGGTGCAAAACATTCCAATGTTCCTTTGTATTTCTCTACTAAATGACAACTAAACAGAAGCTGTTTGTCTGGTGGGCTGACATGATCACAGGCAAGGCGGACCATCAGCTCTTATTACCAAATACCCAATATACACCCTTCCTTTTTGGCCCTTCCTCAAAGTTTTCCACTTTGCCTGGCCCTTTTCATGAATAACTTCCTGTGTCATCATGTGACACGACGAATGATTTCTGTCATCGTGTTCATTCATACCTATCCAGAACATACCATAGCACTGTATCATACCTAGTTTGACACAAAGACCTCCCTCACACTTCTATTTCCTGTCCACCAGTCCTCATCCCATTCTTTATTCACACACACTTTCGCACATTCTTCTCTCTTTCTCTCTCTCTCTCCTTTATAGAGACAGAGTCTTGCTATGTTGTCCCAGGCTGGTCTCAAACTCCTGCCTCGAGCGGTCCTCCCACTTTGGCCTCCCAAAGCATTGGGATTACAGGCATGAGCCACCCCTCCCTGTCTGTTCTTCTCTTAATTACTTCTTCAGCTCTAACAACGCAAAGCGCATCTGCTAGCCCTTGGTTTCTGGATTATCCTGCCCCTCTCTGCCCTAGTGAATCTTAAGAAAGTTCACAATCAGTACGACAAATCATGTGTGTCCTGACTAGCGCTGATTTGGTGGAATTATTTCCAGTTTAGATCTGGTCCTTCCTTAATTAATAATAATAAACCTCAGTTAAAGTTGTGTAGCATTTTCCATAGCAGTAACACAATGTTAATTTCATCTTGAGCTTGGAGAAGTCAGCTAAAGTCCTAAACCTCAAGATCTTTTTATATATAAGGGAGAAGTCTCCAGAGATGGTGCATCCATGAGCACATCATCTTTACTAAAGAAAAGCAAAATATATTTATCTTCTATGTATGCACACAAACATGTATTTTTTCTTCCTTTTTTTAGTGCAACTTCCTGACCTCTGAAAACAATTTCTTTAGGATACTGGCTGTAAATATTTGCACGGATTGTTCAATAGCTGGTTGTGCAAAGGGAGACAGGCTTTTTGTCTTTACCCCGGAAAAGAATTGAAACAGACTCTTTCTTTCAAAAGTTGGCAGAGATATGTTACAGAGGGGTCCAGCTCATTTGTAGAAGCAAACATGTTGCCGTCTAACACAGATTGATCACCAGCTGGGAAGCAAGTCATTCCACCGTAGGTTCACAATAACACTGGCTCTCTGCTGAGCTGCTGACCACTGGTGACAGATTGATGTGTAGTTCGAGTGGAGAAGCTAGCTAAAGAGAACTTAGGGAAGCTGAGCAGGTTGCAAGTGTATTATTCATGCACTCTCTGCCCAGAAAAATAAAGTTCCCCACCTTTCTGACCTAAGTTTGGAGAACCGTTAGGGACTGAGTTTGCTTTGTGACTTTGAAGGCTGCTTACAGCTTTCCAGAGCAACATAAAAAATGAATACCTATTGGCACTCCAATGAAATGCCAAAATCCACAAAGAGAACGACCAAGGAACATTTCTTTTTTCCTTTTCCCACTGCGAGTGAGAAAGAAGAGACATGATATTTCATGTCACTGCTAAAGAGTTTGTTTGGTAAAAAACAAATGAAAAGGTACAGCTTGTTAACACCACTCAGAGGTAGACAGTCCAGGGTCTCAGAAAGAAGAATGGCATGCCCCTGGGTTTCTTTTAGAATGCGAAGAGTGGTGGCCGGGGAGGGGGGGATGGTGGGGGAGGGGGTTGGGGGGTGGGGGTGAGGGCTCACGGAATGAAGAGCTTTAAAACACCACGCAAGCGGGGAAGGCATATTTACTTAAGAAAACTGGTACCTAAGTTGTAAATCGGAATAACAGATCAAGCAGGTACCGTGTTTTATAAGTTTGAGTCATTAAATTTTCCAAGATTCTGCATGCTTTTCAAACCATAAAAGACCCACTTCCAAACTATTACCCACTTTTTAAACCATGAAGATACATTAAGCACACTACTTTTTCAATAGCAGTTTTTTTGCACATCTTTTCTATCATCTTTCCTTAAAGAATATACATTTTTTTCTTTTTTTCTCTTTTTTTTTTTTTTTGAGACAGAGTCTTGCTCTGTCTCCCAGGCTGGAGTGCAGTGGTGTGATCTCAGCTCACTGCAAGCTCTGCCTCCCGGGTTCACGCCATTCCCGACTCGGCCTCCCGAGTAGCTGGGACTACAGGCGCCTGCCACCACGCCCGGCTGATTTTTTTGTATTTTTAGTAGAGACGGGGTTTCACCATGTTAGCCAGGATGGTCTCGATCTCCTGGCCTTGTGATCTGCCCTCCTCAGCCTCCCAAAGTGCTGGGATTACAGGCGTGAGCCACTGTGCGTGGCCTCCTTAAAAAATATTTTAAACAAAGACATTTAGCACAAGAAAACAGAATAATTACATGGGGGCCAGGGACTATTTTATTCACCATGGTGTCACTAAAGCCTAGAAGAATGCCTGGCACATAGTAGATCCTCACTAAATATTTGCTGACTGACTATTCATTGGAAGCCAACTTAGCAACACTGTGCTTTATTATTCTAGCTCAGATTTAATGATAAAATTTCATGAGCATTTTCCCACAACTTTCGAAAATTATTTTAATGAAGAAATACAAACATAACTGCACCATTTCTGCTATTACCACCACGTCCACAGTTGAAACTATTAGTGTGAAGTGAAAGCTGAATATAAAGAAGAAATTTAGCCCAGGGGATTAATTTCTTCAAGGCTGGTGAGGAGGAGGAAGCAAACTACTGTTTTCCTTTTCACGGGAGTGCTACACGGGTTACTATCCACAAAGATAGAAAGGAATAAATAAGTAGTAGTTAATGATGAGGAGAAGCAACAGTTTTTTTGGCAGTAGTACAAAGCCAGGAAATATAGCAGTTTCCAGAGAGTTGCATGTGCTTTTCAGTGAAAAGGTTTGAGATAGCACTTCCTAATGAAATGCCAAAATCCACACCAAGAATGACTGAGTAGCAGTTTTTTTCCGTTTTCCCACTGAGAGTGAGACAGAAGATCCGTGATGTTTCATGTCACTGCCAAAACAGTTTGTTTTGTAACAATGTATGAAGAGAGACAGCTTATTATGCCACCTGTATTGCACTATTTGTTAGTATTTTAATAGGTAATTAATCTTGATTTGATAGGATTTAAGATTTCTATTTTTTGGCACATATGCTCAAGCTATTATGTTATAAATCTCAAACATTTCAGCAAATGTCATCCTGATTGTTCCCTACTGCATAGAATACGATCAGTGAAATATTCAAGGTCAAGAACTTGGATTCTTTACCCACCGTATTCAGGAAAACCAATTTATTGTTCTGTCTCAGTAAAGAGGGGTGATTTCTTTGGGGCCTATATTATATTGGCAGTCAATCTAGAAAACTTATAATTACTTTTAAGCAATGGAGGTTTGGTAAGTGCGTTAATCTGTTCCTGAATTTAAACACATACCCTTTAGCTATTACTATGACAAAACTTCAGAGTTCAACATTTTAAATTACAAGAATGAAGTGTGTGCACAATACGTTAGAATGGTGCACAAGAGTTTTTAATATAAAATCAAGAACATGTCTTTGCATTTGCCTGGGGATAAAATCTTAGGAAGATTTTGAGGAGTTGTTCTTTTGTTTTTTCTTTTTTGAGACAGAGTCTTGCTCTGTTGCCCAGGCTGCAGTGCAGTGACGCAATCTCAGCTCACTGCAACCTCGGCCTCCCGAGTTCAAGCAATTCTTCTGCTTCAGCCGCCCCAGTAGCTGGGATTACAGGCACCTGCCACCATACCCAGCTAATTTCTGTATTTTTAGTAGAGATGGGGTTTCATCATGATGGCCAGGCTGGTCTCGAACTCCTGACCTCAAGTGATCCACCAGCCTCAGTCTCCCAAAGTGCTGGGATTACAGGCGTGAGCCACCACACCCGGCCTTGAGAAGTTTTTAAAGCAATCTTCATACCAAATGGTCCTGGTTTGGCAAATTAATGTTCTCATCAATTTATTGGAATAAAAAAATTGAATGATGTTTGGCATTAAACCAAATCATTACAGATCATTTCAACTGAACTAAGTTTATGCATTTTCTAAAATATAAGAATATGGTTGGCCAGGTGCGGTGGCTTAAGCCTGTAATCCCAGCACTTTGGGAGGCCGAGGCAGGCAGATCACGAGGTCAGGAGTTCAAGACCAGCTTGGCCAGCATCATCAAACTGTCTCTACTAAAAATACAAAAATTAGCTGGGCATGGCGGTGTGCGCCTGTAGTCCCAGCTACTTGGAAGGCTGAGACAGGAGAACTGTTTGAACCCAGGAGGCAGAGGTTGCAGTGAGCCGAGATTGTGCCATTGCACTCCAGCCTGGGCAACAGAATGAGACTCCATCTCAAAAAAAAAAAAAAAGTTTGATCCTCATTATTCATGGATTGCATATTTATGAATTTGCCTACTTGCTAAAACTTATTTGTAACCCCCAAGACAATATTTGAGGAACTTTCAGAGTCATTCGTGAACATGCACAGAGAGGCAAAAAGTCTGAGTCGCCCAACCCGCACACTCCTAACTGAGGCTGAGCAAGGCAACGCCCTGCCTTCTCGTTTCAGCTCCACATACTGCAAACAAGTGTCCTTTCGGCGGTGTGTTTAGTCTTTCACATTTCTGTTGTTGCTTGTTGTGATTCTGCCGTTTAAAATGGCCCCAAGTGTACTGCTAAAGTGCCGTTTGGCGTTCCTAAGCACAAGAAGGCTGCAATGTGCGTTACGGAGAAAATACATGTATTCGGTAAGTTTCATTCAAGCTGTTGCCCAGGAGTTCAATGTTAACCCACTATCTATCTATACCTATCTATGTATATAAAATAATATGTCCTTAACAGAAACACTTAGAAGCAGGGTTTCATTAATTGGTTGATGAAAATGCTATGAGCTTGAGGGACCCTAACGCTGTATTTCCCCTAAGAACAGTGGTTCAGTATGCACTAACTTGGTGTTCACGGTGACTTTACAGAACATGAGCGCCACAAATGAATGAGGACTGACTCTAATTATTTTCAGAAATGACCTTAATACAAAATTTTTGCTTCTCAGAGAAAGACAGATGTTTTTGCTTTTGAAAGGTAAGGGTCAGTTCTCTACATTATTAAAAAAATATATATTACTGCAATCTTTTTTAAAAAGATACATAGATTAAAAAAATTTCTAAAATGACAATACCAAGTGCTGACAAGAATAAGGTGCAACTGAAACTCTCATACACCACTGATGGAAATGCAAATAATCCAGCCACCTTAGAAACAGTTGATCAGTTTCTTAGAAAACTAAACATATGCTTATACAAACCAGCAATCCTACTCCTAGGCAGGATTACCCAAGAGAAATAAAAACAATTGTTCACACAAAAATCCAAACATACCCATCTGTAGTGGCTTTAGTCAAAACTGCCACAAACTGAAAACAACTCAATGTCCTTCCACTGGTAAATAAACAAACAAATTGCCGGGTGCGGTGGCTCACACCTATAATCCCAGCACTTTGGGAGGCCAAGGCGAGCGGATCACGAGGTCAGGAGATCGAGACCACCCTGGCTTACACGGCGAAACCCCGTCTCCACTAAAAATACAAAAAATTAGCCGGACATGGCGGCGGGCGCCTGTAGTCCCAGCTACTCGGGCGGCTGAGGCAGGAGAATGGCGTGAACCCCGGGGGACGGAGCCTGCAGTGAGCCGAGATGGAGCCACTGCACTCCAGCCTGGGCGACAGAGCGAGACTCCGTCTCAAAAATAAATAAACAAACAAACAAATTGTGGTACAGCTAGACAATAAGCTATTCCACCACAATAAAAAGGCACAAACTACGGATGTATGCAACAATGTGAATAAATCTTAAATGCATTATGCTTAGTGAAAGCAGCCAGATACAAAAAGCTACAAACTTCACAATTCTATTTATATTCCATTTTGGAAAAGGCAAAACTTGAGGGACAGCAAACAAATCAGTGATGCCCAGGGGCTGGGAGTGAGAAGAGGGTCTACCTGTAAAGGGGTTGAATGAGCCAAGCACAGGTGGCACACACCTGTAGTCCCAGTAACTTGGGAGGCTGAGGCTGGAGAATCTCTTGAGCCCAGGAGTTTGAGGCCAGCCTGGGAAACATAGTGAGGCCCCGTCTCAAAAATTAATTAAAAAATAAATAAAGGAGAATGAAAGAACCTTTGAAGGTGATGGACTTGTTTTATATCTCAAGTATATATATCAAAACTCATTAAATTGTTCATAAAAAAAAGATGAAATTTGCTACATGTAACTTTTTTTTTGAGATGGAGTCTCGCTCTGTCATCCAGGCTAGAGTGCAGTGGTGCGATCTTGGCTTACAGCAACCTCTGCCTCCCAGGCTCAAGTGATTCTGCCTCAGCCTCCCTAGTAGCTGGGAAAACAGGTATGCGCCACCACGCCCGGCTAATTTTTGTATTTTTAGTAGAGATGGGGTTTCACCATGTTGGCCAGGCTGGTCTCAAACTCCTGACCTCAAGTAATCTGCCCGCCTCGGCCTCCCAAAGTGCTGGGATTACAGGTGTGAGCCACCACGCCTGACCTTACATGTAAATTTAACTAAATAAACCTCACACTAAAAAAGGTAGTAAAAAATAATAATGCTGTAATGATAGACATTCCTTCAAATTCTCCAAGACCCATATATACGGATGTGTGTGTGTTAGAGATAGAATCTCCCTATCTTACTCAGACTAGCCTCAAACGATCCTCCAGCCTCAGCCTCCCTAGTAGCTGCGAAGCATGCAGCTGCGCCTGACTTCCTCTAATTTTTACCGATGTTCATAGGCACATTTTTATCTAGCTATAATATAAATTGATGATTTGTTTTATTTTATAAAAATCTAATTAATTCTGCCATTCTAGCAAAGACCAGCATGATAATCTGGCAAGGTAGGACTCATTGATCAATTTCAAGTCAGCACTTTTCTCCCCATTCACACAGCAGTATTTCTTAAGAAGGAATTTTATTTCTCGGTGGTATTCTCAGTATTTTGTAGACATACCTGCTCTTAACCAGCAATGCAGGAAGTCCAAATGACATCCTGAAACAAGGCCTCTTTTGCAGCCTTCCTCCATAAGAGGTCCTGCCTTTTTGTCCAGTAACACAAAAAAGATTTGCCAAGCATGGACTGTGTTCTGGGCCCTGCGCTCAGTACCAGGAACACAAAAATGAATAAGACAGCCTTACTTATATCACTTCCTCACTCTATCTTAAAGCAATGGTGCTTACACAAACTTAAGCCCTCAAATCTTCTGGCATATATGTTAAAATTATCTCCTTTGTTTATACCGTCCCTCCCTTCCAGCATTTATCTTGGGAATTATTCACTTTTTCCAGATCTAATCCACACCATAATCCCATTAACAACTTCTTCAAGCTAGACTTGGAGTGGTCAGAACTTGATTCCACATATATGTATCTCTCTGTGGAGAAAAAACAGGATCCCATAAGTCAATGCCATTTCGTCTCATCTTTCCATGTCACACTTTGTTACTAAGTGTGTGATCTACGGCGACAGACATCTCAGTTCGAGAACTTACACAAGGCATCATCTCCACGTTTAATGTAACTTTCCAAAGTAAGCACTAATTCCCTTTGGAAACCATAGTTTTTAAAATTTTTCTAAATAAAATGGTACCTCTGATGTAGCTATGACCCCTGCTAGGGTTCGTGGTGTCTAATGAAGTGAAAATATTATATACTTTGCATTCAGTAAAAGTTCCTATTCCAAGAGATATAATTTAACTCCTATGATATATATGTCCAAATTATTTTTATAACTTTATAAATAAACCCATCTCTAAGTTCTCCTTTCAATAAAAAATGAATATTTAAAGAAAAATAGAAAAATACCCAAGTTGCTAGATTTTTCCAAAAATGATTATTTTTGAATACTTCATAAACAAATGTGCAATTTAAATATATTCATATATACACAAAAATATACATATATACAGAGAGAGAGAGAGAGAGAGATGGACACCATGAATTCTTAGAAAACGGAACAAAAGTTTCACTGCTTAGAAAATTTGAGTTTGATATTTTGCTTCCTCTTTCTTATTTGGTTTAATTTGAGCTGCATCTGATTTATGTTTTTCTCTTAATCCAATTAAATTACCTTGATGGTTTCAGTTAAAACATGGAAGGATTTATTGCAATCTCTCTTAATATAAAGTGCATGAATTGTCCTACTGGAGTCAAATAATAATGTGTAACTATGACATACATTCCAATGACAATTTCACCATTATGACCTGAGATATGACTCAAACTCTAGTTACTTAGTAACTATAACTTAATTTAGTAACTTCTTTGACTTTTTTTTTTCTGATCATGTTTTCACCCTGGACACTCCAAGTACCTGACAGCTTCTTGGTGGAGCCCATCTCTTATCTAAAAATACCTGAAACAATTAGCTTTATTTTCCCTGCTTTCAAACACAAGAGCACTTATGAGAAAGAAAATTGACATCGGAGAAAGGTGGGATGAGAGAAAAATCTCTTCTATCTTTAATGAAATTAGTTACCAAAAATAGAAAAAAAAAAATCTTTGCTCAACTAGAAGTTAAATGTGTGTTTCTATTTCCGAACACTAGTTCTTACTCAACTATGATACAGCCTGTGAGAAGGAATTAGTCCTCTACAACACACTGCCACTCTGAAAGGTTCAGGTAGGTGGTAGGAAGTGCCCAGCTTTGGGATGGTGCTGAACCCGATGCCGCAGAAGCCAAATGAACACTTGGGGCAAATGGTCCCCCAGCCTGGCAGTAGCTTTGGCTCTCGGTGTGACAAAGCAGAACAGCTAGGGGTTCTCAGGTGTAGGCGAGCACCTGAAACCCTTGAAAGGTTGTCACATGACGGGTGTTCTCAATGTATAAACTTCTACACTGCCTTGGTTGTTGATGATTTTAAGATTAAAAATCTACTTGGGAAGTTGGATAACAAAGTATCCCAGTAGGATGGCCCTTGTTTTTTTTTCTTTTTAGACAGAGTCTCGCTCTGTTGCCAGGCTGCAGTGCTATAGTGCAGTGGCGTGATCTCGGCTCACTGCAACCCTGCCTCCCGGGTTCAAGCTATTCTCTTGCCTCAACCTCCCCAGTAGCTGGGATTACAGGTGCCCACCACCACGCCCAGCTAATTTTTGTATTTTTAGTAGAGACGGGGTTTCATCATGTTGGCCAAGCTGGTCTTGAACTCCTGACCTCAACTGATCTGCCCGCCTCGGCCTCCCAAAGTGCTGGGATTACAGGCGTGAGCCACCGCGCCTGGCCAGGATGGGCCTTCTTTTAGATGTTTCTCATCTTTAGTACTCAGTATGGCTAGAAAATGGTGTGGGGATCCGAAAGGTTAATTTCCTATGACTAGAAACTCACTGACCCTGGTTCATAGGGTAGGTTCATCCAATCCACTGTAAGCCTCCAGGAAAATCAAGGAAGATCATTATGAATCAGCTCAGCTGCTACTGTGATAGTAATCTCACCATCATTATGTTTACCCCATGGAGAAAACACTATTGTAATTAACACCAATTTATAATCTAATTGTGGGACAGATGGTGAAGGATACCTACCATATTCAGATCTGAATTAGACAGGAAGGTATGAACTGTATACAACCTTCAAGAGCACTTTATACCTCCTGTCACTACTCATCTTTTTTTTTTTTTTTTTTTTTTTGAGATGGGGTCTCACTCTGTTGCCCAGGCTGGAGTGCAGTGGTGTGATCTCGGCTCACTGCAACCTCTGCCTCCCGGGTTCAAGCGATTCTCCTGCCTCAGCCTCCCGAGTAGCTGGGATCACAGGCATGTGCCACCATGCCCAGCTAATTTTTGTATTTTTAGTAGAGGCAGGGTTTCACCATGTTGGCCAGGCTGGTCTCAAACTCCTGACCTCAGGTGATCCACCCACCTCAGCCTCTAAAAGTGCTGGGATTACAGGTGTGAGCCACCGTACCTGGCTACTTGTCTTTCTTATGGAGGATTTTTAATAACTATGTGTTGAGTTAATAAATAAATTGTGCCATGAGTCTCTTGCTCTCCTAAGGGGACTTATGGGTAAGAGTCTGTAAAAGTCACCAGTCTGGATGGGGAAGCATGGATGGCAATTGAAGAAGAGGGAAGGCGAGGCTCTGGGAAACCGCTCTCACATGGCTTCAGACACTGGTGCAAAGGAAGCGTTTATAAGAAACTATGTCATAAAGTTAAAGTGGAATGACTATATTCTAAATATGTTTTCTACATTATATATACATCATTAAATAAATTGAATATCATATTTGATTATTTCAGCTATAGTCCTAAAAGTATACACAGTAGTCCCCGCTTGTCCTCAGGGATACATTCTAAGGTCCCCAGTGGATGCCTGAAACCTCAGATAGTACCAAACCCTTTCTCAATCTGATAACCAAGAGGGCTACCAAATGACTCGTAGGCCGGGAGCACGTATGGCATGGAGATGCTGGACACAGGGATGATTCGTGTCCCAGGTGGAACAGAGCAGGATGGCATGAGATTTCATCATGCTACTTAGAACAGGGCATAATTTAAAACTTATGGGCCGGGCTGGCCGGGCGCGGTGGCTCACGCCTGTAATCCCAGCACTCTGGGAGGCCGAGGCGGGCAGATCACGAGGTCAGGAGATCGAGACCATCCTGGCTAACACAGTGAAACCCCATCTCTACTAAAAAAATACAAAAAATTAGCCAGGCCTGGTGGCAGGCGCCTATAGTCCCAGCTACTCGGGAGGCTGAGGCAGGAGAATGGCGCAAACCCGGGAGGCGGAGCTTGCAGTGAGCCAAGATCGCGCCACTGCACTCCAGCCTGGGCGACAGAGCGAGACTGTCTCAAAAAAAAAAAAACAAAAAAACTTATGAATTGTTTTTCCTGCTATTTTCCATTTAATATATTGGGACTGCAGCAGACCATGGGTAACTGAAACCACAGAAAGCGAAACCACATATAAGGGGGAACTATTGATTTGGGAAAGAAACTGTTCTAGGGGGCAGAGGATGGATCATCCTCTTTGGAGACAAAAAAAATTATCTTACACTCAGGAATATATTCAGGTACAATGTTTTTACAACAGTAGATTAAACAGTTTAAAGTGGGCACAGTGGCTCATGCCTGTAATCCCAGCGCTTTGGAAGGTCAAGGCGGGAGCATCACTTGAGGTCAGGAGTTTGAGACCAGCCTGGGCAAGACAGCAAAACCCCGTCTCTACAAAAAATTAAAAAATTAGCCAGGTGTGGTGGTGTGCACTTGTAGTCCCAACTACTTGGAAGGCTCAGGTGGGAGGATTGCTTGAGGTTGCAGTAAGCCATGATGACACCATTGCACTCCAGCCTGGGTGACAGAGCAAGACCCTGTCTCTTAAAAAACAAAACAAGGCTGGGTGCGGTGGCTCACGCCTGTAATCCTAGCAATTTGGGAGGCCGAGGTGGGCGGATCATGAGGTCAGGAGATTGAAACCATCCTGCCTAACACGGTGAAACCCCGTCTCTACTAAAAATACAAAAAAATTAGCCAGGCATGGTGGCACGCGCCTGTAATCCCAGCTACTCGGGACACTGAGGCAGGAAAATCGCTTGAACCCAGGAGGCGGAGGTTGCAGTGAGCCGAGATCACGCCACTGCACTCCAGCCTGGGCGACAGAGCGAGACTCTGTCTCAAAAATCAATCAATAAATAAAAACAAAACAAAATAAAAGAAAAATAGTGAAGGCTTTGGTGGCTACAAGAAAAGGCACAGCAAGGAAAATATTTTGGTATCTTGGTGTAAAAAAAAGCACAAATGAAAATATTACAATGCAATAAGAATTTTTAAAAAACTGAATAAAAACAGTAAGATTTTGACTATGGTATCAGGAAGGGAAGAAAAGGAGAAACTTAAAATATGGACAGGAATACAGACACTTCAGCAACAGTCAATGTCCTCTGCAGACAGTACATACAATATTATTCACAAAGTGGGCTAACTCTGTAACAGTCTTCCAGCCAAGAGTCTCTGAAAATTATTTCTAAAACTTTACAACTTGCTACTATAAGGGGGAGGTACGCAACCAATAAGTCTAATTAGGATTCTGACCATTTCTCATATGCAAAGGCATATCAACAAACCCATCTGCAGTGTACAGCTCATCCTCATCTGGGATCTGGGGGCACAATTTACTCTCCCAGCACACCCTCCCTCCCTAACCTGACGATCCAACTGTGTTTCACCCAGGATTCAGATCCTGGGAGGAATCCTAACTATCAGGGCTGTTAAGCTTTTAAATACGCCACCCTCAGAGAAGGCCCTCACTAGATGGGTAGGGGCTGGGTGTCATGATAAGAGAATTCCTATTTTCCCACGGAAATGAATTACTTTTTAAAAAAACCCATTTGCTGGTGAAAGGGAGGAGAGGGAGGAAGTGAGGCTAAGCAAGTGTATTTGGGGGGTGGCAGATGAAGCGAGTCTTGTGGGTCTCAGGACAGTCTTTGGAACAGAAATTACAAAAACTAATTTGAAACCCAGAGGCAGTGAAGAAAAGGCATGGAAACCAAATGAAACACCATTTGATCTTTGGCCTCTCTGATCTGAAACTGGGCTGGGCCTCCAGCTGAGTTCACTGAGGCCACTGAACAGCTGTCCGGTGATAACCACTTTCATAGTTGTCAGCAACATTTGCTTCAAGCCAGTACCAGGGCTGTTCCCACTCTGTGGAGATGGAAAAAGAGTCTATGTTTCCCTTCATTTCTTCCTCTGCTTGAGCCATCCTAAATTAGGAAATCATCTGGATTTGTAAAAATAATCACTTCTTGGCATGTTCACAGAATCTGCTGAAATGTTATTTCAGAAAAGAGACTCTGAATGCCTGGAGGTCACTATAGGAAATGAATCTGGCAATTTGAAAGTGCACCTGCTGAAGTTCTAGGCCATCTCAGCATTCAAATAATTTATCCATCTTTCCAAACATCTTTTGTGTCTTTTATTTTTAAAAAACAAAAAAAAAGTTCTAAGTTATTACACTTACTATGAATCGGAAAACAGCCCTGCTTCTTTAGATGTGGATTCTGGGGTTTTTTTCTCCTGCATTTTTTCACTATTCAGCAAACACTCATTTAGAGTCCGCCTTAGACACAGAACTCTGCTAAGTACGTATGCATCTTGCTTAGGACAGCTGTGGCTGCAAGTAGCAGAAAATGAGACTCGAACTGGATTAAACATCACAGAAATGTGTCTCTCATGGTAAGAAATGCAGGGTTGCTCTAGAGTTGGCTAATGCTGAGGTTCTGCAAAGTCATCAAGCAGCCATCATTCTTTCCATCTCGTTACTAGTTTCCTACTGCTGCTATAACCAATTCCCACACACCTAGTGCCTTAAAACAATACAAAGTTATCATCTTATAGGTCCAGAGGTCAGATGTCTGACGTAGGTCTCCGTGGGTTAAAATCAACGTGTCAGAAAGGCTGTCTTCCTTTCTGGAGGCTCCAGGAGAATCCATTTCCTTGCCTTTCCAGCTTCTAGGGGCTGCCCACACTCCTTGGCTTGTGGCCCCTTCTATCTTCTAAGCCAGCAATGACTGCTCGAGTCTCTCACATCACATCACTCTAACACTGACTCTCTTGCTCCCTCTTCCACATTTAAGAACTCTGGTGGTTACACTGGGCCCATCAGAGAATCCAAAACTCTCTCTCCATCTCAAGGCCATACCCTTCCTTAGCACATCTGCAAAGTCTCTGGCCACGTAAAGTAACACATCTTCAGATTACAGAGCCTAGGACATGGATATCTCTAGTGGGGGCTATAATTCTGCCTACCATAATCTCTGTGCTCTTCCAGCCTCAATGAGGGCTTTGCCCTCAGGCTGGCTGTTCTCATGATCATAAGGTACTAATTAGAGAAGTTTCAGATGCCACATCCAGACATACTTTGTAGAGGAATAAAAAAGGTGAGACACCTCTTTCTGGTCTCTTTCTTTCTAGGAAGAAAACTTTAGCCAGAGGCCCTAGAGCAGATTTTCCTTCATGTTTAATTGGCTGAAACGGGTTACCTGCCCATTATCAATCCAATTTTTGACAAGGAGAATAGGTTCACTGTGATTGGCATAGGATAAGAATTTGGAATGGATGTTGGAGAGTCAGCCATCATATTCACTATAATGTAGCAAATACCAAGAAGGGCAGAAAGTTACTATTTACAGAATACTTATAACTAAAGGTCCAGTACTTAAACCAATCTTGCTAAGAAAACCAAGGCTCGTTTGAATTTTACTATGTATTCTAGTTATGGTTACCTCTGCATATACTATTATATATGGAGGAGTAAATATGCTGGCTTTTAATTTTATTTTTTTGAGATGGAGTCTCGCTCTGTCGTCCAGGCTGGAGTGCAGTGGCGCCATCTTGGCTCACTGCAAGCTCCGCCTCCTGGGCTCACGCCATTCTCCTGCCTTAACCTCCCAAGTAGCTGGGACTACAGGCGACCACTGCCACGCCTGGCTAATTTTTTGTATTTTTAGTAGAGATGGGGTTTCACCGTGTCAGCCAGGATGGTGTCGATCTCCTGACTTCGTGATCCGCCCGCCTTGGCCTCCCAAAGTGCTGGGATTACAGGCGTGAGCCACCGTGCCCTGCCAATATGCTGGCTCTTAAGCACAGGAGAGTTGAGTTGAAATCTGTTGTTTTCTACCACATTCTTCAAAAACACATCAAATAAGTTTTTAAAATAATTCAAAAGTAATCATGACTTTGAGAAGACCAATGCATGACTTGCTAGAAAATATACGAGAGGTTCTAACTTCGAGTTTGCTCTCGTGCTCTTGTTCCTCAAAGAAATCCAGCACTCCCAATGCAATATGAAGTATGGATCAGAGAGGCTGCTTAGAGGACTGACTGCTCTTCCAGATGACAGTGTCATATGATGAACGAAGCTGAAGCCAAACAGCAGAGGCCTGAATTATATAGGCGTATCGGCCAGGGTCTGATCAGGCGACAGAAATCACTCCAGTTATTTAATTTTTTTTTTTTTTTTTTTGAGACGGAGTCTCACTCTGTTGCCCAGGCTGGAGTGCAGTGGTGCAATCTCGGCTCACTGCAAGCTCCACCTCCCGGGTTCACGCCATTCTCCTGCCTCAACCTCCTGAGTAGCTGGGACTACAGGCGCCCACCACCACGCCCGGCTAATGCTTTTTGTATTTTTTAGTAGAGACAGGGTTTCACCGTGTTAGCCAGGATGGTCTCGATCTCCTGACCTAGTGATCCGCCTGCCTTGGCCTCCCAAAGTGCTCGAATTACAGGCGTGAGCCACCATGCCCGGCCCACTCCAGTTATTTTAACAGAAAGAATTTAAGGCAGAGAGAGCCATTAACAAGACATAGAGTTGTTAACTAGGTGAGAGGGTAAAAACAGAACTCTAAGGTATCATGGGAGCAGAAGAGATAAAAGCAAGAGGTGAAAATTATTAAAATAAAGAGCCTGGACGAGGGCCCCCATGGAAGTGAACTCGAAATTCTGAGGAGGAGGAGGTGCTGCTCAGGTGACACAAGTGTCTCCAGGGTACCTGAAGAGGCTGATTGTGCAAGTGTTGAAAAACCCGTGGACTGAATTCAGCCAGCTGCTGCCTCAGGGAAAGAACTGCTGCTGCCAGGGTGAAGAAGCGTATCTTGTGTACCACAGACGGGAAGCTCACAGGAAGCAAATGGGAAATACACATCACTTCCTTGTATGGAGCCTCGCTCTGTCGTCCAGGCTGGAGTGCAGTGGCATGATCTCGGCTCACTGCAAGCTCTGTCTCCCAGGTTCACTCCATTCTCCTGCTTTAACCTCCCGAGTAGCTGGGACTACAGGCACCCACCACGACGTCCAGCTAATTTTTTGTATTTTCAGTAGAGATGGGGTTTCACCATATCAGCCAGGATGGTCTCCATCTCCTGACCTTGTGATCCACCTGCCTCGGCCTCCCGAAGTGCTCGGATTACAGGAGTGAACCACCACGCCTGGCCAATATGCTGGCTCTTAAGCACAGAAGAGTTGAGCTGAAATCTGTTGCTTTCTACCACATTCTTCAAAAACACATCAAATAAGTTTTTTTGGCATCTAGAAGGATGCTGCAGCTTTGCAGCATCTAGAACTCGCTACTGGCAGAGCCGAATAGAGAGGCAGCTGGCAAGACAGAAATGTGGCTTGCAGAGGCCGAGCTCCAGCATCACACAGGAGGGCACAGAAGGCCATGTTTGGGGTTGAGAGACAATGGCTTCATAAAGGGCACAACAAGAAACTATCCTGTGATACCAGTAGCAAAGTCTCCTTCTTTTGCAGTTGAGTATACATCTTTGGGAATGATAAAGGAGATGAAGGGGCTTCAGAGTGTATGAAAGGGTTAAAAAAAACTTTCATAGTTAGGAAATGCTTATTTAGCTTCTGGGAATGCAACTGTTCCCTCACTCCACAATCATATCACAATATTTACTAGTAACTCTTGGATGTTACTATCACTCCCATTCCTTTCTGGGGGAAGGAGGTAGATAAGCACAGTCATATTTGTATTTTGAATATCTTTTTAAAAAATTACTAAATTCAGCCAGGTGCAGTGGCTCACGCTTGTAAGCCCAGCTCTTTGGGAGTCCGAGACAGGTGGATCACCTGAGGTCAGGAATTCAAGACCAGCTTGGCCAACATGGCAAAACCCCATCTCTACTAAAAGTATAAAAATTAGCTGGGCCTGGTGGTGGGCGCCTGTAGTCCCAGCTACTCAGGAGGCTGAGGCAGGAGAATAGCTTGAACCCGGGAGGTGGAGGTTGCAGTGAGCCGAGATCGTGCCACTGCACTCCAGCCTGGGAGACAAGAGTGAGACTCTGTCTCAAAAAAAAAAAAAAACAAAACAAAACTACTAAATTCACAACAACAACATATCTTTATCATGTAGAAAGACAGTAAATATGTATATGGTGGTTAAAAGAACATATTTTGTCATCAGACTGATCTGGGTTCAAATTCTGGCTTTGACACTTGGTAGCTGTGTGCCTTTCGCCAAGTTACTTAGATTGCCTCAGCCTCACTTTCCCCAGCTGTTACATGGGAATAATAATAATACTAACTTCATAAGGTGGTTGGGAAGATTAAATTAATTACCACTATAAAACTTAACTTGGTCATCACTGCTTTTTTTTTTTTTTCCCTGTGAGTCTCAACAGCCTAGGAAAGAAAAATGTTTCCAACCCCTGCTTTGGGGAAAAATATTTATAGCCTTTCCACAGTATTCTTACCTCTGTGACAGCACTGAGCTCAACGTATAAGTTTTTAAATAATAATATTCCCAAGTGAGAGTTCCTTACAACCAGAACTGTATATTTTTCACCATGTACACAGCTCCTGAAAAAATGGTTATCTTCCTTGACAGATCCAGACAGTGAACCAATCCAAAACACAAGCAGATACACAGAACCCCACAGCGGGAGGGGATGGAGGCAATCCAGGAGGTCAACATGGAGAGGAGTGGTTTCCAGTGGAGGGTAGGAAGGTGAGAGGGTGGGCAACAGAATTACCTTTTTCCAAGGGTGCACACCCTCCACCTACCACCACCCTAGATTCTAGCTCAGCTTCCTTAGAAAATTATGAATACATTGTTCCTTTGGGTGCTAGAGATAGAGACAGAAGCCAATATAAAGTCAAGAAGAGATAGTCTTGACTTTCTAGGAAGTGTGGATTCACAGTAAGCCCAAAGGGAGGCTAAACTATTCAGGCTCAGCTGCCAGGAGAAAGTGTGAATTTGCACAGAGAAAGCTGGTGCTTGTGGTGGGTTAGAGCAGCGGTCTCCAGCCTTTTGGGCACCAGGGACCAGTTTCATGGAAGACAATTTTTACATGGACTAGTGGGTGGGGGGTGATTTCAAGATGATTCAAGCATATTACATTTATCGCGCACTTTATTTCTATTATTATTATTATAATATATAATGAAATAATTCTACAACTCACCATCATGTAGACTCAGTGGGAGCCCTGAGCTTGTTTTCCTACATCTAGATGGTCCCATCTGGGGGTGATGGGAGACACTGACAGATCATCAGGCATTAGATTCTCATAAGGAGCATGCAACCTAGATTTCCCTTGTATGTGCAGTTCACAATAGGGTTCACGCTCCTATGAGAATCTAACGCTGCCGCTCATCTGACAGGAGGCGGAGCTCAGGCGGTAATGCAAGCAATGGGGAGGGGCTATAAATACAGATGAAGCTTCAGTCAGTTGCCCGCCGCTCACCTCCTGCTGTGCAACCTGGTTCCTAGCAGGCCACGTACCAGTACTGGTCCATGGCCAGGAGTTGGGGACCCCTGGGTTAGAGAATCAGGGGAACAAACATGACAGTGGCTGGTTCTATCGGAGGAGAAGCACAAATAAGTCTCTCACTAAGTCACACAGAGGCCAAGCGCATGAGACCTTCACCTAAGGAAACCTGAGGCTGACAAGAAAGGCAGAAAGGAGCCCCTGGAGTGATCTAATGAAGACAAACTCACTTTGTGGCTTTATAAGTTCTAAGCAAACCAAGGCAGAGATCATTTGTGACTAACCTGAGAAGAAAATCTCATTTCAACCCTGAGTTCTTTTCTCTTTCAAAAATTTCCATCAGGAGGCCGGGTGCAGTGGCTCACGCTTGTAATCCAAGTACTTTGGGAGGCCGAGGTGGGAGGATCACTTGAAAACAGGAGTTTGAGACCAGCCTGGCCAACGTGGTGAAACCCTGTCTCTACTAAAAGTACAAAAAATTCGCTGGGCGTGGTGGCAGGTGCCTGTAATCCCAGCTACTCAGGAGGCTGAGGCACAAGAATTGCTTGAACCTGGAAGGTGGAGGTTGCAGTGAGCCGAGATCACACCACTGCACTCCAGCCTGGGCAACAGAGCGAGGCTCTGTCTCAACAACGAAATAATTTCCATCAGGAAAAAAGCATGGGGAATAATAAAACATCCAATGAAACCCTAATTATAATCCTTTTAATAAAGTGAAACTGTACAGGGAAGGACTGCTTGGGGTATGTTCTGGATTCCTCTACACTGGGGCAGTATCCATTGAGGAAGAGTGACAGAACGACTAAAGAAATGGACTGGCCAAGGGGCCCGCCACACTTCCCAGACACCAGAAGACAGGGACTCAGCATCTAGGCCACAGCCTTATAAAGTCCAAGGAATAATATTCATCCACCCTGGCAGGAAAGGTAAAAAGTAAAGCAAGAGCTCCCTGGTCTTCTAAGAAGAGGGGAGGGGAGTCTCACTGAGGAAGAATGTAAAAGAATCCTCATCCCAGAACACATCCCTATGCCTAGCTGGCCTCATGGTTTACAGCTTGAGCAGATTCACCTCTTTATTAGCTACGTGATTTGAGGCTGGTATTTAATTCTCTGAGTCTCAGTTTTCCCATCTGTAAAATGGTAATGTTATTACCGCTCACAGGGACACTATGAGTATTAAATACAATAATTTACGTAAATACAATACTTTATAGTACTTTCCTGGAACAGAGTGAGCACCCAATACACAGTAACAATTATGTTTGTTTCGCTATCACAGAATTACTGATAATAACAGGTATCCCTGCAATCTATTCCATTGAGACTATTTTTAGTATTAAGTTCCTTCCTCCAAATCAAAATACTTTTATTTCACCCATTCAAAGTCAAATATTTACAGGCTGGGTGCGGTGGCTCACGCCTGCACTTTGGGAGGCTGAGGCAGGTGGATCACTTGAGGTCAGGAGTTGGAGACCAGCCAACTCCTGGTTGAACATGGTGAAACTCCGTCTCTACTAAAAATACAAAATTTAGGCCAGGCGCAATGGCTGATGCCTGTAATCCCAGCACTTTGGGAGGCCGAGCTGGGCGGATCACCTGAGGTTGGGAGTTTGAGACCAGCCTGACCAACATGGAGAAACCCCATCTCTACTTAAAAATACAAAATTAGCAGGGTGTGGTGGCGCATGCCTGTAATCCCAACTACTTGGGAGGCTGAGGCAGGAGAATTGCTTGAACCCGGGAGGCAGAGGTTGCGGTGAGCTGAGATTGCGCCATTGTACTCCAGCCTGGGCAACAAGAGTGAAACTCCATCTCAAAAAAAAAAAAAAAATTTAGCTGGGTGTGGTGGTGTGCACCTGTAGTCCCAGCTACTCAGGAGGCTGAGGCAAGAGAATTGCTTAAACCTGGGAGGCAGGGGTTGCAGTGAGCCGTGATAGGGCCACTGCACTCCAGCCTGGGTAACAGAGCAAGACTGTCTCAAAAACAAAAACAAAAATAAAAGTCAAATATTTATCATGAGATTGAAATATTCTTCTTTGAGACAATTACCATATATGCTCCACATCTTCCTAAATCTGATTCTTAAACAGCAGCAGCTGAAAGAGGCAATTATTGTAAAGAGCAGTTGCTTTAGAAAGAAACATTTTTCTCAGGCACTTCTATAAATAGAAAGGTGTGGTGAGGGATGTAAATTATGATCTGCAATTGTGATCTTTCAATTATGACATGCAATTATCTTAGAAATTCAGCTACGATACCAGGCAAATGTTTACACCTATATCACAAATCTGCCGCTAGGTATAATCCTTAAAGTCTCAAAATTAGCTCCATGCATTACACAGAGTAGGCTGAATAAATGATTGCTTAGCAACTTTAGCAAAATAGCACAAGAAGGGAAGAAAAGTACTGAAACAGGAGATCCAACCATGATCACGGGTCTCTAGTACTTAAACACTGAGATTTCTGCAGGGCTCTATGTGCTGAAAAATCTCAAGTATCTCAAGAGTGTGTCATAAATGAAGAGTGTCAGAAGTGAGCAGATCATAAATGTTCAAAACAAGTGTGGGAGGGACCTAGATGCAGGGACTACATCCGGAATATACGGTGCCCTCTGATGCCAATCTCATTGTTTTTTTTTTTTTTTTTTGTGACGGAGTCTCACTCTATCGTGGAGGCTGGAGTGCAGTGGAGCAATCTCAGCTCACTACAACCTCTGCCTCCTGGATTCAAGAAATTCTCCTGCCTCAGCCTCCCGAGTAGCTGGGATTACAGGCACCTGCCACCAGGCCTGGCTAAATTTTGTATTTTCAGTAGAGACAGGGTTTCACCATGTTGGCCAGGCTGGTCTCGAACTCCTGACCTCATGATCTGCCCGCCTCGGCCTCCCAAAGTGCTGGGATCATAGGTGTGAGCCACCATGCCCGGCCTCATCCTCTTATACACACACTTTGGGTCACACCTTTGAGCTTTTTAGGTTTCAATGTATTCTCCACCATGAAGCTATTCAGAATTATCCTTCTCCCCTAAGTCATCTAATTTTCCCTCCTTTCTCACCAAAAACACTTCCTCAGTAATAGGCAGAGGATTATTACTTGAAGTTGCTTTTTTTTTTTAACTGAGGAAATGTCAGGCATGTTATTTTCAGAGTGATTTAAACAGCTCTAGTGTTATAGCTAAACAGAAAGAACAAAGATGCTAAAATATTAATCATCCTGCCCAGCTGCCCACTGGGAGTAGCTGAAAATGGCAACGTGCTGCTGTCTCCTGGCTTCATGTCTACGTTACTGCCTGTGCAGCTCACAAACACTCCCTTTCCTGAACATATGGAGCAATCTCAGGAAGGAATTTGCCTCAGTGAACCCTGACTAGCCAATCAAAACCAGACGGTTCCAAGTTCAGTGACTAATATCAGGGATGAATTGTGCGTGGTGAAAAGGAAATTTTGTGTGCCGGAGAAATGTATACCCTGAGATCAGCCATATCACAGGTGTGCAGGATCACCTGGAGAAAATGAACTTGAGAAAAGGCGAGTTCAAACATTTCTTCAAGCAGCACGCCTGTCATCACAGAGTATGAAAAACTGAACAGCGCTATGCGGTATCGGATCACTCGAACAACGACGACAACAATAGCTGCCTTTAGGGAGGACTTCCGGGACTGAAGCCAGGGCAGCCACTGCACTGAGCCCTGCATATACGCGATCCCATTTAGTTTAATCCTCACAAACTGTAAGGTAGGTACAATCACCTCTGGTCTACATACAAGGGATGAGGTTTGAGAAGATTAAGTGAATTGCTCTTCCTTGCACACCTAGAAAATGGAGGAAGTGGGTATCTCTGATTCCAAAGCCCTTGTTTTTAACCACCATACTATTTTAGTATTCTTTTTTTTTTTCAGATGGAGTCTCGCTCTTGTTGCCCAGGCTGGAGTGCACTGGCGCAATCTCGGCTCACTGCAACCTCTGCCTCCTGGGTTCAAGTGATTCTCCTGCCTCAGCCTCCCGAGTAGCAGGGATTACAGGTGCACGCCACCACACCCGGCTAATTTTTTTGTATTTTTAATAGAGAAGGGGTTTCACCCTGTTAGCCAGGATGGTCTCGATCTCCTGACCTCGTGATCCGCCTGCCTTGGCCTCCCAAAGTGCTGGGATTACAGGCTTGAGCCATCACGCCCAGCTATTTTAGTATTCTTTCCTTCTTTCTCATGCCCTGATATTCATAGGAAAGGTAAAAAGCTTGTAAATTAGATGGAAGAAACATTAAAACCTAATAGGTATTGGCTGTGTGGGATGCCTTGGAAAACATGGTGGACTGTTTCCAAAGAGTGGACTAAATTCATTAATCGCCCTGGGAGATAAGTACTACTTCCAAGATGAAAGGCATTTTTGGCTCTTGAGAAGGCCCAACATTTACACATTTTAACACAGGCATGGAAATAAGCACTGGAGAGACATTTGCTAGCTCTTCAGAATCCATACAAACTGCAAAAACTCAGGAAGAGTGCTACAGATTTCTAGCCAGTTTCATCTTAACAGGTATAGTGATATTAAATCCCCAAATTCATTTCCAATATCAAAAGTGACATAGGCCTGTGTCCAATATGCCCTCTTCTCATCAAACTTGGCCTGGCAGGGTTACCAGGACAGTGGTGTGGCCAGGCAGCTCCATGAGAACCTGGGGAATCTCAATTCAACCAACCTTCACCAACCACCTCCGAAGCATGAGGCATTCTTATGACAATAACAATGCACACTTACTGAGCGTTTACTATACACTAGGTGGTGTGCTAAGTCCTTTACAGCCTTTTTTTCTTTTGAGATGAAGTCTGGCTCTTGTCCCCCAGGCTGGAGGGCAGTGGCGCGATCTTGGCTCACTGCAACCTCTACCTCCCAGGTTCAAGTGATTCTCCTGCCTTAGCCTCCTGAGTAGCTGGGATTACAGGTGCCTGTCACCACGCCCGGCTAATTTTTGTATTTTTAGTAGAGATGGGGTTACACCATGTTGGCCAGGCTGGTCTCGAACTCCTGATCTCAGGTGATCCACCCGCCTCAGCTTCCCAAAGTGCTGGGATTATAGGTGTGAGCCACCGTGCCCGGCCTTTTACATGCTTTTAACTCATTTGATCCTCACAACAAACTCTGTGAGGTGGGTTCTTATTTTTCCTACTTTATAAATGTGATAACTGAGGCGTACAGAAGTTAAGTAATTTGCCAAATCCTAGAGGCTTCCAGAGCTCTCTGTCTTAATCACTAAGGCTATGCTGTAGGGTCTGGAGGGTGAAAGCAGTACCCAGCTTCAGGACTGCAACAGTGTTGCAGAGGATCCAGTCTCCCCTGGGTTAAGGAACAGAATGAATATCCATCCACTCCCCTCCCTGACAACAATGACTGCAGAAAACAAGCTAGGAAGACCTCTCTCTTCCCCTTAAGGAGTGGGAAGCATGCTTGGTTAATTGAGAGAAGAGCATCCTGGAGAAAGGCTCGCTTTGGAAAAGGAAGAGGAAACAGGGAAGAAAAGAACACCATGAAGGTGACCAAACCATGGCTTCCATGCACTCTTGCTTCACCAAAGTGCAGGGGAAACCCTTTCCCCTGAAGAGGGCGTTGTGCTGCTTAATCCACTCTCCGGAGTGGCTCGGGGCATGGAAGAGAAGCAAGGAGCAACTCCAGGTGGCAGGGGACCAAGGTTGCCTGCTCTGACCCTCCCAGTTGTTCCAGGCACGTCCAGGGCCTTTTATCCAGCACAGCAACTACCATCTCCCACTATTTTTACAAATGTTAGTTTGAAATGGATCTTGAAGTAGTGGGAGCTATAGGACAGATTCCAGTTGTTTTCAAACAAGCTGTAACTGAGTAACAGTTTTTAATACAGAAGGTCCTAAAATATACAGCTGCCATAATAATACACATGTAACTCTAAAAGGCATAGGAGAAAAGACACAATATTACACATTTTAAATGTAACACAGCTATGGTTAGAAATAGCGTAGAAACAATATAGCGAGGTTTGTTTTATTTTGTTTTTGGTTTTTTTTGAGATGGAGTTTTGCTCTTGTCACCCAGGCTGGAGTGCAGTGGCACCATCTCGGCTCACTGCAACCTCTGCCTCACGGGTTCAAGCAATTCTCCTGCCTCAGCCTCCCAAGTAGCTGGGATTACAGGCGTGCACCACCGCACCCGGCTAATTTTTGTATTTTTAGTAAACACGGGGTTTCACCATGTTGGCCAGGCTGGTCTCAAACTCCTGACCTCAAGTGATCCAGCCGCCTCGACCTCCCAAAGTGCTGGGATTACAGGTGTGAGCCACTGCACCCAGCAATATAGTGGTTTTATCTCAAGGATTAATAAACATCTTACGAAAATGTTAGGAATGGGGTGATAACATCCAGAGACTTGTATTCTAGTTAACTCAGTCCCCATCCGACCCAGGTGATTTAATACTCCATACCTAACAATTTTCAAATGCTTAAAACTGGCAGATCAATATCCCACGTGTGGCAGGCACAGAGACGCACCACACAGTTCCTCTTTCAAGCAAGGCCTTTCTGCCTCAGCTGCTGGGAGTGCTCTTGGCAGACGGTCTTCAACTGCCAGCCTCTCAAGGGCATAGAGCTGCCCTGCCCAAGGACCCGGCCTTCCCAGGGTGTTCCCCATCCAATGACTGATCAAGGCTGGGGCATATAAGCCCAGCAATGTGAATTCAACGTGGGACAATCCTGAAGGCCATTTCGGCACCCGGGCTTCCCAGGGGGCTGTCGTCAAAGCCAGCCGCTCCCTCTGCTAATCCTGCTGCCCAGCTCCCTCCCACAAATGTTGATCCCATCAGTGCTCCTCATACGCATCCCGCATACAAAAGCCCCTCCGAGGCTGCTCCCCAGAGAATCCAACCCGTGCCTCAATGCCTCTATGGAGAAGAAAAAGAAATTCAATTTTCAAGGGAAGTGGTACAGGTTAAGCCAGATGGTTAGAAAAATTGCTTTCATTGTTATCTTGGGAATTTTCCTCCTCCAACAGATGGTTAAAGCTCAACCTAGGAGAAGGCTGGGCAGCTCAGCCAAGGTGGTCATTTGCGTGGTTCCAATCAGATAAAGGAGCACAGAAGAACTCTCAGGGAGGCACACTGAGCTACGTGGTCAGCCTCCAATCTCCTTTGAGCAAGGTGAGTGCTGTCCTGACCCACTTTAAAGCCAGCTCATTAGATATATTCCCATTCAAATCTAAGTCTAAGTTCATGTCTGTCTCTCATCAGTCTGTTTCATCTCTCTCTCTCATACACACACACACACACACACATCTACCCCTAAAGATGTTCCATGTCTCTTTCTCTTCCTTTCCATAGAAAACTGAGGCCTGATTACAGTGGTATTAGTCAGTTACATGTTCATAAGTGATAAAAGATTAAGAAGAAATAGGATCACCTTATTAATGTACATCCCAAGTCGTTGCTTCAAGGACAAACTCTCCGTGAGCCCATCCTAAATATATCTCCCATAAACACAACCAGTTCTTCTTCCTAAAGCTCTCTGTCCATTTCTGGCAAGAAAAAAGTACCAGAGAAAATCCTGTTTATAAAACAAAGCAAAACAAAAAATGGCTACTCTTGGGCTCTTTGATTGGCTGACAAAAGAAAATGGTAAAATGAGTCTTCACCTTATCGTCACCCCTAGAGATGGCCAAGTTTGGAATGAGTTTAGCAACATGAATCCTACACGAGCTAGGAGTGAATCCAGAAGCAGAGAGGAGGGTCACTCTTGGACACAGGACCTCAAATTATCCTGTTCAAATGACCCAAGGGAGTACAGAAACACCTTGGAGGGTCTCCTAAATTCACCTGTTCATAGATACAAAACGCTTATCACTGAAACATACTCTAAACCACTAGCTGTTAATTCCTCAGGACATAATAAATTTTTTTTAATTGTGCTTGTGGATTTCAAACTAACCAAATTGGTTGACAGAACTGTTCTACCTTTGATGTCAATTCAGTTCCCCAACTACTGTTTGAAATGGTTAAAATAAAAACAACAACAAAAATAATAAAGAGTCCTTATCACTGCATTCAAAATGCTTTCTCAAAGATTTCACCCTCCTGGCAGGACTGTCTAGATGGAAAGAGAATGTCGTGTCTCTTCCCAGAATAAACCGTTGAGACCACATTACCTTCCAGTTCAAGCTCCTTTAAGGATTTGAAATTACTTGAAACAACTACTCAGCAGCTTCAGTCTCTTTCTTACGCTGTCTTTCCCTGCTCAAGCACTTGGTTCTAATCAGACCACTTCCTTCCTGCTGCTTTGGTTTTTATTACCAAAGTTCTTCAGTCCTTTTCACCACCCCATATGCTAAACAATTTCCACTTTGAGAAGCACATTCTCAGAGAACTCTGAGGATAAGCCAAGCTCAGCTAAAGATCTTCAATAATGAATGAAACTGTGAAGAGCTACAATTTGTCTTAAGCGGCTTTCACCTTCTTTCTGTATCTTTTTCCTTCTAAAGAGCATGCATCTACTTTTCTCAGGAATTAAGCATTCTCATTCTTTCATTGATTCTCCAAACAGGAAAAGTAACATGATAAATAAGTCATATTTGGTGTAGGCCTCTATGCAGAAAAAGCTAACACAGCAGGCCTAACTGCTTTTTTCTTTTTTCTTTTTTTGAGACAGAGTCTCACTCTGTCTCCCAGGCTGGAGTGCAGTGGCACAATCTCGGCTCACTGCAAGCTCCGCCTCCCAGGTTCACACCATTCTCCTGCCTCAGCCTCCTGAGTAGCTGGGACTACAGGTGCCCGCCACCATGCCTGGCTAATTTTTTGTATTTTTTTTTTTTAGTAGAGATGGGGTTTCACTGTGTTAGCCAGGATGGTCTCAATCTCCTGACCTCGTGATCCACCTGCCTCGGCCTCCCAAAGTGCTGGGATTACAGGCGTGAGCCACTGCATCCTGCTTTTTTTTTTTTTTTTTTTTTTTGACAGAGTCTTACTCTGTCACCTAGGCTGGAATGCAGTGGCGTGATCTTGGCTCACTGCAACCTCCGCCTCCCGGGGCGTGAGCCACCGCACCCTGCTTTTTTTTTTTTTTTTTTTTGAGACAGTCTCACTCTGTCGCCTAGGCTGGAATGCAGTGGCATGATCTTGGCTCACTGCAACCTCCGCCTCCCGGGTTCAAGCAATTCTCCTGCCTCAGCTTCCCGAGTAGCTGGGATTACAGGCGCCCGCCATCACACCCAGCTAATTTTTATATTTTTTATTAGAGACAGGGTTTCACTATCTTGGCCAGGCTGGTCTCGAACTCCTGACCTCATGATCCACCTACCTCGGCCTCCCAAAGTGCTGGGATTACAGGCATGAGCCACCGCGCCCGGCCCTAACTGCTTTTCTTAACAAGGCACTGCTGCCAAGGTTGGCCCTTCCCTGGCTGGCATCCTGGAGCTTGGATTTTGGGAAGGACCCGCCATTAACTGGTAAGAGTGGCAATCTGTGCCTAAGCTGTATCAATGCTCTGTTTCATTAACACCTGGTTTCCTTCTGGGAGTCTGGGATGTGGGTACATGCCAGACAGGGTGCCTATGTGACCAAGACCCTCAAAAAACCCCGGGCACTGAGTCTCTAATGAGCCTTCCTGGTTGGTAATATGTCGCACGTGCTGTCACAACTCATCGTTGGGGTAATTCTGTGCACCCTGTGGGATTCCACTGGGAGAGGATGCTTGGAATCTTGCACCTGGTTTCCCCAGCACTTCAACCAGGAGCCTTTTCCCTTTGCTGATTTTGCTTTGTATCCTTTTGCTATGATAAATCATAATCATGAGGATAACTACAGTCCATTCCCGCTATTCACAGTAATTATGTTCCATAAAGTCACCATGAACACTGAATTAGCAAATACTCAACTGATGTTCCTGAGGGAGACATGTACCTCTATCTGTACATACCCCACACAGATCATAATATTAAATCCTAAAAACAACTCATCCTGGTAGATTCCTTTTTTTTTTTTTTTTCAAAAGAAAAAACAAAGTTCTGAAGTGTTACATAACTTGCCTGAGGCTGCTCCACTAAGAGGAGCCAGAGGTGGGATTTAAGCCTGTCTGTCTGGCCCCAGAGCCAGAGTGTCCACTGGTCATCCCTCTCTGAGGCCGAAACAAAAGGCAGGGCATCACCTTGTTCAACCTCGGCTGGGAATGTGCTTGTGGGGTGAGTCAAACCTTTTGCCACTTTATCCACGTCCATGAGTAAATGCGAGAGTACTGCTAGTATTCACTTGGGGGTTTTAAGTACATTTTAGTGGGTAGGTGAGTATAAGCTGAATCCTTTGAGTCCTCCTAGCAAACCACTAAACCTGGAGGTTGTCTTGGGGACCCCCACCGTAGCCTCCAAGGAGAGACCAAGATTCCCCTTCCTGCAGAGGCACTGAGGAGGAGAAACAGTATGACTAGGGCCAAAGTGGCAAGAGGTAGAGCTTCCAGAGCAACCTGCTCTTTGCATCTGTGATTACTTTGGCTGTTCCTTTGAGGTTCTCTTTGGCCTCTCTTTTTGGCTTGCTTTTTTGAAGTCCCTTCTCCAATTCAGCTGCTACAGCTGGATGGGCCTGTGGTAGCCTCCCTCTTGGAGGTCAAATAGGAACAGCGGTGAATGAAGTTCAGGGGAAAGGAAGCCGGGTGAGTCACCCAGGCCAGCTGTCCCAGGGCCTGAGGAGAGATGGCCTTTTCCTTGACAAGTGTTTCCACAGCTTTTCCTTGGAAAACCCTCATCCCTTTCTAGTTAGATGGCTTCTCAGCCTGGCTGCGTGGCCAGGGTCAAGACCAGTATATGGGCCTAGAAGAAAAAAGTCAGGGAGGAACTAGGGCAGAAGCAGCAAAAGGTCCTTGTGACTCAAAGCTGGCCAAACCCATCACCAGAGCTAAAGCTAGCAGCAAAGTCATAGGACAAACACCATGCATGTGTCTCAGGATCTTTTTTTCTTTTTTTTTTTTTGAGATGGAGTTTTGCTCTTGTCACCCAGGCTGGAGTGCGGTGGCACAATCTCAGCTCACTGCAACCTCTGCCTCAGCATCCTGAGTAGCTGGGACTACAGGTGCCCACCACCACACCTGGCTAATTTTTGTATTTTTTTAGTAGAGACGGGGTTTCACCATGTTGGCCAGGCTGGTCTCGAACTCCTGACCTCCAGTGATCTGCCCGTCTTGGCCTCCCAAAGTGCTGGGATTACAGGCATGAGCCACCGTGCCCAGCCATGTCTCAGGATCTTTTCTGCACAGTTAGCAGATTCAAAGACTCTGGTTTCCTTGCTGTAATATAATAAAAATATAGTCATCCCTTGGTATCTTGCGGGATTGGTTCCAGGACCACCCCTTCCATATACAAAATCCATGGATGCTCAAGTCCCATATATAAAATGGTGTAGCATTTACATATAACCTACACACATCCTCCCGTATAACTTTAAGTCATCTCTAGATTACTCATAATCCCTAATACAATGGAAATGCTATGTAATAGATGTTACGCTATATGGTTTAGAGAATCGTGACAAGAAAAAAGTCTGCACATGTTCAGTGCAGATTCAACCATCCATTTTTAAAAAAAAAATTTGATTCTCAGTTGGTTGGATTCATGGATGCGGAACCCACAGATACAGAGGGCCAAGTATACATATGTTTGGTCTTTACCCCAGGTTCCTGGCACAGAGCTTCAAAAACCTTTGGAATTTCCTGAGTGCTAGACGTGTCTTTTGTTATTCATGATGAGTCTTTTTGGACTCCTGCTAATTTCTTTGGGGAAATTCATCTATGAACACATCAGATAATAACTCACGGTAGGCTCTTAGACAATTTCAAAGAAAGGGCTAGCCATACCAATGGCTAGAGGGCTGGAACTTTCAGGCCAACTCCCAACCCCCAGGGAGGGGAGGGAGGCTGGAGATCAAGGTCAGTCAAGTGGCTGATGATGTCATCGATCGTGCCTATGTAAAGAAGTCTCCATAAAAACCCTTGAACAAGGTTCAGGGAGCTGCTGGATTGGTGAACACATCAGTGTGCTGGGGCAGGAGTTGGGGGACAAGGAGAGGGTGATACATGGAGAGGGTGATACATGGAGAGGGCATGGGAGCTCTGTACCACCACCCCAACCTCTATACCTTGCCCTATATACTGTGCCTTTTCCATTTGACTGTCCCCGAGTTGGATCCTTTTAATAAAACTGTAATAGTAAGTATAGTGCTTTCCTGAGTTCAGTGAGTCATTCTAGTAAGTTATCAAATCCTGAAGGGGGGTCATGGGAACCCCTCAGTTTTTTTCTTTCTTTTTGAGATGGAGTCTCACTCTGTCACCCAGACTGGAGTGCAATGGCGCAATCTTGGCTCACTGCAACCTCCGCCTCCCGGGTTCAAGTGATTCTCCTGCCTCAGCCTCCCAAGTAGCTGGGACTACAGGTGCCACTAACTGGGTAGCCAACAATTCAATTCTGACATTACCCAGAGTTAGCATCAGACTCCACAGGTTTAAGGGCTTGATCCCACAAGACTGTTCTAACTTCAGATACCAGCCATTAGTCCTGGGGTATCCCCAAGTACTTTAGTCCAACTGGCTATAAAGCGAAGGGTTCCCAGCCAGGCACAGTGGCTCACGCCTGTAATCCCAGCACTTTGGGAGGCTGAAGCGGGCAGATCATGAGGTCAGGAGATCGAGACCATCCTGGCTAACAGGGTGAAACCCTGTCTCTACTAAAAATACAAAAAATTAGCTGGGCGTGGTGGTGCATGCCAGTAATCCCAGCTACTCGGGAGGCTGAGGCAGGAGAATCGCTTGAATCCAGGAGGCAGAGGTTGCAGTGAGCTGATATCATGCCACTGCACTCCAGCCTGGGCGACAGAGCAAGACTCTGTAGCAAAAAACAAAAACAAACAAAAAAAACTTGTTTTACTGAAGCCTCCAGAACACCAGCTGTTTCAGCAAAATGATTTCTATAGATACTATGACCTGGTAAAAAAATGCAAAAGAGAGAGACTTTGAGCTCCAAACAGTAGAGAAAGCACACATGGTTGCCTCCTTCATTCCAAAGAGCACAATGAAATGGCAGTCAAGCTATTTTTGAAAGAATAAATCCATGGTGGCACTGAAGACACGAAGAAGCGTTATCAATGAAGACATCATTTTGGAGATTCTCTTCAAGAATAGAGTTGGGACTGTATTGACCAATAAACCAAAACTGGGGGTGGGGAATGGGTGAAATACAGCTGGAAATACATCAGGCTGCAGATAAGAAGCTCTTTCTTTTTGACAGAACCCTGGAGAGGCTCCAAGCTTAGAGTCAATGGCTATTGGCAGCCACAGAATGGCCTACAAAGAAGTGGTTATAAGGCAGGAATCAGGGCATCTGAGTGGAGAGCTGTCTACAGAACAGCTGAGCCAGTCTGCCCACAGCCCTGCCCTGTGTAGACTGCAGTCTGCAGTACTTGCCCCCAGCTGGAACCCCCGGAACAGCCTTCTCTGGAGAGGAAAGTTTGCCTGGGAGTGCGCATGGTGTTGGTGTCCAGGCTAGAGAATGAGTCAAAGAAGAGCCTCTAGGATAGACACAGGGGTAAAAAGAAATAAAACATATAAAAGATGTCACCCCAAGATTGGAGTTCTCCTTATGTTATTAGTTTTGTTATAGCAAATGGTCCTGAATCGGCTTGTGCCCTCTTTTACCTAACCATATATCCTAGAAAGAAACCTGCCGACTGGCATATCTTGCCCATTTACACAGAGTACACATCACAGCCTGTCTTCCCACTCAAGAAAGAAGCCTTTCGGGTAAATAAACTTGCCTAAAGGGCCGCCCGTGGTGGCTCACGCCTGTCATCCCAGCACTTCGGGAGGTCAAGGTCGGCGGATCACGAGGTCAGGAGTTCGAGACCAGCCTGACCAACATGGTGAAACCCCATCTCTACTAAAAATACAAAAATCAGCTGGGTATGGTGGCACATGCTTGTAATCCCAACTACTCAGGAGGCTGAGACAGAAGAATCGTTTGAAGCCGGGGGGCGGAGGTTGCAGTGAGGCGAGATCGTGCCACTGCACTCCAGCATGGGCGACAGAGCGAGACTCCGTCTCAGAAAACAAAACAAAACGAAACCTACCCAAATACAAAGAAAGCCTATTGCAGCTACCTATACAAATCAATATGGTCCTTCATTCATAAATATGAAGAATCAATGAAGAATTAGCAGACGTGAGGAAAAGCCCATAGCATGTGTATTAGTTTGTAAAGGTTGCCATAACAAAGTACTACAGACTAGGGAGCTTAAATAACATTAACTTTCTCACAATTCTTGAGGCTAGAAGTCCAAGGTATAGATGTGAGCGGAAGTTGTTTCTTCTTTTCTTTTTTTTTTCTTTTTTTTTTGAGATAGAGTCTCGTTCTGTCACTCAGGCTGGATTGCAGTGGCACAATCTCGGCTCACTGCAACCTCCACCTCCCGGGTTCAAGCTATTCTCCTGGCTCAGCCTCCCAAGTAGCTGGGATTAGAGGCACATGCCACCACACCCAGCTAATTTTTATATTTTTAGTAGAGATGGGGTTTCACCATGCTGGCTAGGCTGGTCTTGAACTCCTGACCTCAGGTGACCCGCCTGCCTCGGCCTCCCAAAGTGCTGGGATTACAGGTGTGAGCCACCGCACCCAGCCAGAGGTCATTTCTTCTGAGGCCTCTTTCCTTGGCTTGTCTTCTCCGTGTCCTCACGTGGCCTGCCCTCTGCATGTGTCTGTGTCCCACGTGCCTCTTTTTCTTTTTTTTGTGAGACAGGGTCTCACTCTGTTGCCCAGGCTGGAGCACAGTGGTGCAATCATGGCTTACTGCAGTCTTGACCTCCCGGGCTCAAGTGATCTTCCGACCTCAGCCTCCTGAGTAGCTGGTACTACAGGTGTACACCACCACATTAGGCTAATTTTTTTATTATTATTATTATTTCTTGTAGAGATGGGGTCTCCCTGTATTTCCCAGGCTGGTCTCAAACTCCTGGGCCTAAGTAATCCACCTACCTCGACTTCTCAAAGTGCTAGGATTACAGGCACAAGGCACCGTGCCCAGCTTCAGGTTCCTCTGCTTAAAAGGATACCAGGCATATTGGATTAGGGCCCACCACAGTGGCCCCATTTAAACCTAATTATCTCTGAAGACCCTATCTCTAAATAAAGTCACAATCTGAAGTAGTAGGGGGTTAGTACTTCAACATTTGAATTTGGGGGGTGACATATAATTCAGCCCATAGCAGCATAAAAGAGAAAGACTAAGATGAATAAACCAAAACTTACCTAGAGAAGAAACAGAAATAACAAAAGGAGCAAAAACACTCACCATTTTTTAAAGTTCTAACTAGTGCCATTCAAAGGATTAAAAAGTTTACAACCTTATATACACACTTGTGTGGAAAAAAAAAGCAATCATGAACATTAAAACCTCTTGGTGTTTAAAACTATCATTCTCAAAATTTTAAAAATCAGTGAGAAGAGCTGAGTAATAAAATGGATACAGCAATTGTAACAGCAGTCAGTAAAACATGTTGGTAAATGTAAATAAAATACTGACTACAGAAATAAAAGGGGGCTTCGGTTGAAAACAAAACAGAAGATGAAGAGTTTAAAGGGAAGTTTAAGAATTCTAAACTTGATTTATTCCAAGATATTTATTTGCTTTAGACTTTGTTAGAAAAATGTAAACTTAGGTATGCATGTTAAATATGTGGGGGTGGCTGTGGCCCAAGGTGGGTGGCCTGAGTATCCCATTCTTGGGTGGGGAAGGGGGAAATTTTCCCATAAAGCTGTCATTTCCCAGCTTCTAGCTTTATTTGGAAAGCCCACTTTCAGCTGCCTGCAATGCGTAGGCCCTATAACCTCAACTCCCATATCCACACGGGTGTGGAAATGCAGGTCCCTAAGCTACATATGTGGTTTGGTTATCTCTGAGGGCCATGAGGCTTCACTCACTCACTGGTGTAGGTAAGTTTCTTCATTTCTGGCACCTGGAGAACTCCCTTTGTTGCTTTCAAGCTCAGCTAAGAATATGAGAACAGTTTTTTTTATTTTGTTGAGACGGAGTCTAGCTCTGTCGCCCAGGCTGGAGTGCAGTGGTGCAATCTCGCCTCACTACAACCTCTGCTTCCCGGGTTCAAGTGATTCTCCTACCTCAGCCTCCTGAGTAGCTGGGATTACAGGCGTGCACCATCACACCCAGCTAATTTTTGTATTTTTAGTAGAGACGGGGTTTCGCCATGTTGGCCAGGCTGGTCTCGAACTCCTGACCTCAGGTGATCTGCCCTCCTTGGCCTCCCAAAGTGCTGGGATTACAGGCTCCAGCCACTGCGCCCAGCCCTGAAATGCTATTTGAAGGCCGACTTACGGTCTTTTGTATACATGCAAAGGAGAAACGGTATACATTAGCATGGAGCCCTAGTCCTGTCCCAAATTACTATTAGCATAAATGTTTCCTGACTGAGACTATTGATTGTGACTAAAAAAACAAAGTCCTTCCTAGAAAAATATAAATACCTTATAGTTTTCAGGGCCTGTGAGGTTTTCACACTGTGAAGCCCTCTGCGTCCTGTCTCATGACCCCTCCACAACTTCATCTGGGTACATGATTCTTGTCACTTGCTGTTTTCCAGCCACATTATACATTTATGCAGAAATATAAAGCCTTTTGATTTCTCCAGCTTGCAAAGTTCTCTGTAGCCTCTGAGATCTCACAGGAGATATCCCCGTTTTCCCTGCGACTCTTCACTGGCCACCTCCTCATCAGCTCCCTTCGGCCCATTCCTGAAGCTGCAGCAGCTGCCTCCTCACCATCCCTTCCACAGCCTCCTGTCCTTTTCCTTGACAGTACTTATTAAAATCTGATAAAATACCTTATTTTGAGATGTATTTGTTGAATGTCTCCCTCCCGACACTAGAGTGTAGGAATGATAAAGGAAGGGACTTTTAGTTGTTATTGCTGTTTTTCACTATCTAGGGGACCAGTCACACATGCAGCTGGTACTTGGTAAACACCTGTTGAATGGATAAACACCCCCTTGCCAATATGGCTATTTCTTCTCCCCAAAAGTGGCTAAACTCTCTCAGTTTAGATATGCTATTGGCTGTGGGACAATGAAAAAATATATATACTTAATATATAGTATACCATATATAGGCCAGGCGCGGTGGCTCACTCCTGCAATCCCAGCCCTTTGGGAGGCTGAGGTGGGTGGATCACCTGAGGTCAGGAGTTTGAGATCAGCCTGGCCAACATGGCGAAAACCCATCTCTACTAAAAATACAAAAATTAGCTGGGCATGGTGGCACATGCCTGTGATCCCAGCTACTTGGGAGTCTGAGGTAGGAGAATCGCTTGAACCCAGGAAGCAGAGGTTGCAGTGAGCTGAGATCGTGCCACTGCACTCCAGCCTGGGAATACATGTTATAGATAAAGTATGCATAATATACATGTATTATATATATAAATATATATTAAGTATATATTCATGTATTTTAAATTTAAGTATAGATGTATTTTATAAATTATATATAATATATATAAATTATATGCATGGGAGAATTTTATGTCTCCCTGATTTTCAGTAAATTATATAGACAAAATTACAGAATCCATAAGTAGCAAATTAAGTAATTTTACATTGAAACCACTGACTCTACTTTATAGCATAGGGTGATGGTCACACCGACACCACAAGCCCTAACCCCCGCCTCCTGCCAGCTCTCCTGGCCCCCTCCTGCCAGCTCTCCTGGCCCCCTCCTGCCCATGCTCTCTAGACCCTGGGTACACTGACTGACTGGCCTTCTCTCAAGGTTCTCAACCATGTTACGCTCCTTTGCGTAAAGGCCCTTTGCCTATGCCCTTCCCTCTGTTTGCAAGGGTCTTCCCTTTGCTTTTCATACAGGTAACTGCTGTTTATCCTTTTCAATCTGTTCAAATATCATTTTCCCAGGAAAGGCTTTTCTAACCCTCAAACCATGCCAGTTCTTCTGTTTCACATTCGAATAGGTCCCTGTGTTATCACCGTCTCTAACTGTGTATCTGTGCAGTATCTGTCCAGCAGCTGCCTCCCTGATGAGAACAAATACTCCAGGAGGGGAAGGAGCCGTGACAACAGACATGACATGTATATGTGGATTCTGGCACAGTGCTTAGCACATAATAGGAGTTCAACATTTGTTTAACGAATAAACAATTTGGAGAATGTACTGAGGAAGGAAATATATTATTTTGGATTTAGGAAAAATACCTTACTATGTTTAATAACACTTTTTCTTATTAGGAAAAGAAAAAGTTTATTTAATCTAGATTAAAGGATAGCTACGGAGCTAGTCAGTAAAATGTTCAAACAGATGTGTACAAATGTGGACAGCAGAAAGGTGAGTTGCTGCCACTGCTGCTGATTTTGCACATCAACTTCCGGGAAGATCTTAGAAAGTACAGGTGACTCTCTAGGTCACAGATCACTAAATGGAAGTCCTTCCAAAAGATGGAAAGATGGCATGGGGTAGGGGAGAAGGATGACCTCATAAACTCATTCTGGTCCAAAATTCTCTGAGACGAAGCAACTTGCAAGTTTATTTATGAATGAAATGCAGACTTGAGAAGCCACTCCATGAATCCTAGCAGCCAGCCAAAGTCCGCTGAATGAAATCTCAATAAAGAAAACCTGAATTCAGACTAACACAGCCACGTAGAGAAAACCCTTTCCTCATCTGACATCAATGTGTGTCTATACTCCACATTTGGAGGGGGCAGGTGTTAGGTTCCTATGCCAATTTCTTTCTTTCTTTCTTTCTTTTTTTTGAGGTGGAGCCTTGCTCTGTCGCCCAGGCTGGAGGGTAGTGGCATGATCTCAGCTCACTGCAAGCTCCGCCTCCTGGGTTCATGCCATTCTCCTGCCTCAGCCTCCCGAGTAGCTGGAACTACAGGCACCCGCCACCACACCTGGCTAATTTTTTGTATTTTTAGTAGAGACAGGTTTCACCATGTAAGCCAGGATGGTCTCTATCTCCTGACCTCGTGATCCATCTGCCTTGGCCTCCCAAAGTGCTGGGATTATAGGCGTGAACCACCGTGCCCGGCCTCCTATGCCAATTTCTAAAAGACTGCTTGACCCATAAAGTGCCTCATGCCACCAGGAAGTGCACCCAAAGTCCTCAGCATAGCTCTTCCGGGTTACAGCTCTGGGCTGTGGATGAGCGTGTCTTCCTGCTCACGTTCCACCTGCCAAAGAGTAACAGGAACTCCTTCCACTTCAAATCATTCCATATTTCCTTTAAAGGACAGCGGTTTCTAACTGTCTTGCTTCCTTCAAAAGGCAAACGTACTTAAATTCTAGGGGTGTAGCATCAGACAACATCACTCCTGCCATAGCCATTACGTTACACAGCTCTGAGCTCACAGGCTGGAGGGCATTGTTTCAATAGATCTTCCAACCCCTCCCCTGGTCTAACATGTGCTCTTATCACCAGGAGGGTCAAGTGGGAATAGGTCACATATTAAACCACATGGCATCATACTAGGATGGAACCAAAAATGAAGTATGCTATAGCAGGGGTCCCCCACCCCAAGCCGCAGACCAACACCAGTCCATGGCCTGTTAGGAACCGAGCCACACAGCAGGACGTGAGCAGCAGGCAAGTGAGCATTACTGCCTGAGCTCCACCTCCCATCAGATCAGCAGTGGCATTAGATTCTCATAGGAGGATAAACCCCATCGTGAACTGTGCATGCGAGGGATCTAGGTTGCACACTCCTTACGACAATCTGATGCCTGGTGATCTGAGGTTTAACAGTTTCGTCCTGAAACTACCCCCCATCCTGGTCCATGGAAAAACTGTCTTCCACAAAACTGGTCCCTGGTGCCAAAAAGGTTGGGGACCGCTGTTCTATGGCAACCTAGACTTTAACAAAAAGAATCTTCTAAGCCAGGCGTGGTGGGACATGCCCATAGTCCCAGCTAGTTGGGAGGCTCAGGCAGGAGGATGGCTTCATCCCAGGAGCTCCAGGCCACAGTGTACCATGATCGAGCCTGTGAATAGACACTGCATTCCAGCCTGAGCAACACAGCAAGACCCTGTCCCTATTTTTTTTTAATCGTCTTACAGCAATGTTTCTCAAACTTCAGCATTTCAAATACCACCTACAGAATTTTTTTTTTGCCTCGTTCATATTTCATCTGTACTATTTTTCTGGCTTATACAAGTTAAATGAATAAAGAAATTTTATATTGCCGAGAAATCAGTTTTCAGATGCTAGCCATTTTTATTTCTATCACACAATGAAATATACAACTATTAAAATACAAGATCTTTCTCTGTATATTATCTAAAATAAATTTGCCTAGCATACTTTGGGGAATTCTGATATCAGATAATACATGAAGAAATTCCTTCACCAAACTTTCCTCACATTTCACCAGTACATGATTAATTCCATTATCAAAGTGCTAAATAAACAGTTTGAGAGGCATTTGAGAGGCTTCTGATAGTGACTTGTGCACCAGCAACGAAAACTTCTTTCTGTAAAGTCTGCTTTTAAGAAATCTCTCACGCCTGTAATCCCAGCACTTTGGGAGGCCACAGCAGGCAGATCACCTGAGACCCGGAGTTCGAGACCAGCCTGACCAACATGGAGAAACCCCGTCTCTACTAAAAATACAAAAATTAGCTGGGTGTGGTGGCATGCACCTGTAATTGCAGTTACTTGGGAGGCTGAGGCAGAAGAATGGGTTGAACCCGGGAGGCGGAGGTTATGGTGAGCCGAGATCGCGCCACTGCACTACAGCCTGGGTAACAAGAGCGAAACTGCGTCTCAAAAAACAAAACAAAACAAAAAAGAAATCTCTTCAAGAGTTCAGAGGAGCTGTAGACACAAATGACTATAAACATTTCTTAGCAAAAGGGTGGCTAACCTCAATTCAATGACAATTCACAAAAAGACACCATGATTACTTCTATTAGATTCCTGTTGCTACTCTAACAAATTATCACACACTGAGTAGCCTGGAACAATAGGCATTTACTCCCTTTAGTTCTAGAGATCAGAAGTCTGAAACCAGTTTCACTGGACTGAAATTGAGGCGACCCCCGCAGAAGCTCTCAGGAAGAATCCATTTCCTGGCTTTATTCCAGCTTTTAGAGCTTCATTCCTTGTACCCTTGGCTCATGGCTCCGTTCTCCACGTTCAGAGTCAGCAGCGTAGCATCCTGCTTCAGTCACTGCACTGCTTCAATCTTCCGTTTCAAACTCCCTCTGCCTCCCCTTTGTAAGGACGTTTGGGATCGCACTTAGGGTTCACTGGGATAATCCAGGATAATCTACCCACCGTGGCAATCTGGACTTTGCACATCTGCAAAGTCCCTTTTGCCATTTAAGGTAACATTCATAGATTCCAGGGATCGGGACTAGGATATCTTTGGGGGTCATTATTCAGCCTACCACGCTGTTCTTCTAAACTTTTAACATGAAAATTCAGCTGAGCAGTTCTAAGAGCCCCTTACCATGGTAAATCACTGATGTGTATGTGAAATCTTTATCTGATCCTTTTTTGGAGGCGCAGAGTCGTATTTTATCCTTTAAGGAGCACAGTCATATTTTCTAGCACGTTCAAAGGACACGCTGGTCTCCTCAATTCCAGGACTGACTCTACGAATACAATTGGTTTTCCTTATCACTCTGGTTCCCGGTGTGTCACACAAAGCAGAGAGGAGATGCACGCCTGGTCCCTTGTGCCTACACTGTCAGATCTCAATAATCCAGCATCTTGGGCACAGGCAGGGTGGGAATGGGAAGTACTTTTAGGCAAAAATAAGAGCCTGGCCCCCTTTGGTAAGATATCTCCGTATGTCTGCCAGCTCCTACAGTGGGGCTGAATTGCTATTTCATGAGCAATAGTGTCATCTTCATCAATGCCAAACAAACAAAATGCTCTCATTCAATTTAGCAACCATGTAGTAAACATTTTCTACATGTTCACTTCAGGTAGCTGTAGTGATCTTGATTTCTGGAAAAACATGTAAAATAACAGTTTCTGAACCCTTATTCATATTCATTAATTTAACAAATATCATCAGTCACTATTTGCCATGTGAGTTAGCACTAGTGATCCAACAATGAATAGAATAGAGTGCCTCCCTTCAAGGGGGTTCCAGTGCGGTGGAGAATACAGACAAGTAAATGTCAATCAGTCAGTGACGGATGCTATGACTAGGGAAATACAGGATCCTAGGGGAGCATGAAAGAAGGGAAGATTTCTTAAGAGAAAAGGATGCCCAACCTAAGCTCAAAAAAAAAAAAAAAAAAGTCAGCAGTAGCTAAAGCAAGATGTATGCTGAGGTGGGGGTTGGAGGAGGAAGCAGAGAGGGAAGAACAGTAATTGGCAGGAGGGGGAAGGTATTCCAGCCACTGGGAAAAGTTTAATGAAAGTATCAGAGGGCCGGGCATGGTGGCTCACGCCTGTAATCCTAGCACTTTGGAAGGCTGAGGTGGGTAGATTGCCTGAGCTCAGGAGTTCGAGACCAGCCTGGGCAACATGGTGAAACCCTGTCTCTACTAAAAATACAAAAAAAAAAAAAAAATTAGCCGGGCATGGTGGTGCGTGCCCGTAATCCCAGCTACTCGGGAGGCTGAGGCACAAGAATCACTTGAACCCGAGAGGTGGAGGTTGCCATGAGGCGAGATCGTGCCATTACACTCCAGCCTGGGTGACAGAGCAAGATTCTGTCTCAAAAAAAGAGAAAGTGTCAGAGGCCAGGCCCAGCATTCTGGTGCAACTGATGAACTTGAAGTGAGTCAGTATGGTGGGGTGTGTAATTCTAGTGACAGGGAATGCAATGACTAGATCATTGAGAACTAGTGTGGACTTTATCAGGAAGGCATTGGGAGGGCCACTTAAAATTAATAATGTAGCTGGGTATGATGGCACATGCCTGTGGTCCCGGCTACTGAGGAGGCTGAAGCAGGAAGACTGCTTAAGCCCAGGAATTCAAGTCCAGCCTGAGCAACATGCCAAGACCTTGTCGCTTAGAAAAAAAATTATAATAAGATCTGTGTTCTGAAGACAACACTGATACAAGGCAGAGAAAGGCTGAGAAGGAAATAAGACACAAGGCAAGGTATCAGGCTATTGCAGTAATCGAGGCCAAGGATGACAGTGGCCCAGAGGTATGAACAGACTCTAGTGATCTTTAGGAAGCACAGCTGACAGGACAGGACAGGACTCACCTCATGAGGAAGGAGTAACTGGGCAGATGAAGAAGGCATTCATGGAGAGGAAAGCATAGGGCCTGGCTTCTATGACATATATACACATACCTATTCTGCTTCATAAATAAAATGGAAATAACCCTCAAAGGGTAAAAAAATGTATGCCTGCTGTTGTTCAAATCAGAAAGAAAAACAATAAGTAAACTAGACAGTATCACAGAGGAAAAACTAGGAAACTTAGAGGATTGATCCAGGAGTTCTTTGTTTTTGTTTTTTTGTTTTTTGGTTTTTTTTTTTTGAGACAGAGTCTTGCTCTGTCACCCAGGCTGGAGTGCAGTGGCGTGATCTCAGCTCACTGCAACCTCCACCTCCCAGGTTCAAGTGATTCTCCTGCCTCAGCCTCCCGAGTAGCTGGGACTACAGGCATGTGCCACCACACCCAGCTAATTTTTTTATTTTTAGTAGAGACGGGGTTTCACCATATTGACCAGGCTGGTCTCAAACTCCTGACCTCAAATGATCCACCTACCTTGGCCTCCCAAAGTACTGGGATTACAGGCATAAGCCACCATGCTCGGACAATCCGGGAGTTCTAAATCTGACCAGTAGGAGTTGCAGCAAGAGAAAATACAGAAAAACAGAGGGAAGGAAATGACAAAAGAATGTCCCAGAATGGAATCTCTAGATTGTAAGGGATGCCAAGCATCCAAAACAGTGAATGAAAATGTACCTACTTTAAGGCATGCTCATAAATAAAAGATCCTAACATGTTCCAGAGAGAAGGAAATAACTCACCTATAAAAAATCAAGAATCGTGATAATGAACGGCCTAAAAGTAACAACACTCCAGTGGCAATGGGTACAGTACAGTATGCACCAAGATCTTAGATTCCAAACAGCATTTCCCAATAAAAGGAACCAGGGATCCTTGAGGAAACAGCAGATTCCAGGGATAGGATAGAGAAAAAGGAGAGCCTGGGACATTTTATGCTTCCAGAAAGCAAGGAATTGCTCATAGATTGTCAGGGAAACATCCAAAAGGATTGGTCAATTTGGGATATTTGAGCATCAAAAGAATGGCAAAGACCTGCACACACCAGCAGAGATTTGTTCTTGGTGTGATGTCATCCATCAAATCGTGCCTCTATGATTCTTTGTGATGCTGATCTTTGTGATGTGATTCTTTGTGGTGGCTCATGCCAAAAGGTCTCAGAACATCAATTCTGTTCATTTTCTTGTTTTGGTGTTCTTTTTAAAAAGCTCTGCTGCGGGTGGTGGCTCAAGCCTGTAGTCCCAATACTTTGGGAGGCTGAGGTGGGAGGATTGCTTGAGCTCAGGAATTCAAGACCACTCTGGGCAACACAGGGCGACCGGACCCCCATCTCTACAAAAAATAAGTTAAAATTAGCCAGGTGCTATGGTGCCGGCCTGTAGTCCCAGATACTCAGGAGGCTGAGGTGGGAGGATCACTTGAGCCTGGGAGATGGAGGATGCAGTGAGACGTGACTGTGCCACTACACTCCAGCTTGGGCAACAGAGTGAGACCAGAACCACAACTCTGGGTTCTGGAGAAGTGCTGGTGGTCTGTCATGAGCCCTTTGTGCCCTCCCACCCATAGAGGCCACCTGGAACTAAAGAGCACTAGAATTTGTGGCTGCATGAGGGGACGTCATCCACTCAGTGTTCCACTTGCCAACGCCCCTAGTCAGTGGCCATTAGGGTCTGTCATCACTGGGATTTTCACTTAACTGCTGATCCATTTCCTCGCTTGGCTTGGTCACTGGCATAGGAACAGGGTAATTACTGGGGTTGGTCAGGCCCTTTTTAATTCTCTATGAGGAAATTAGAAACTGAATTCCAAAACTGAAGATAATTCGACCTTTCAGCTTTGTGGTTATACTCTAAGTACAACGTATTTTGTTAGTAAGATTTTGATACTTGATTCCAAAATGACCTAGCCTATTGTTTTCCTCATTTAATGAAAACCAAAATTCAGCAGGCCGGTAAATCACATGCAGATACTTGCAGCCAATGTGCTGCCCTTTTCCAGCGCCCCTGACTCCCTATCACTCAGATCACAATAAAAATCCAGATGGGGCTGCAGCCCCATTCTTAACACCTACAGCTATCATGGCCTTTTTTCGCTTTAACAAAAGGAATAAAAGCTGATGATGGTCTTGGCAGGGATATACTTTTTTATCCTCAGAGAGTCTCTTTTCCTGTGACTGAAAATGGCTGACTCTGCCCTATCTCCGAGGAGCAAATGTTCACATTAGAAAACCACCAGCATAGCTGCCTTCTCTCCGGGAGGCCACCACAGAGAAAACCAAGTTTGCACTGGCAACGAATGGAAAAATACCTCCTATTTGTATATGTACACATGTAGCCACCCGGGTATGAGATGGAGATGAGGACAGGGGAGGTGTGGGGGAAGCAGCAAAAGGGATAGGGGCAAAATGTGCGAGTCGAAGGACCTCTGACTGTGACTGTGATGCTGTGTATATACACGTCGCCACGTGGATGCGCTTCTGTGCATGTGGGGGATTTAGACCTGTAATGTGAGCATATAAGAACCAATACAAAGTACAGCGCTAAATACATTGTCTGCATATTCAACAAGGGCACTGCTTCTCAAATCTGGCAGCACCTTGAAATCATCAGGGGTGGCTTCAAAAACTACTGATGCTTGGGCCCCACCCCTGGAGGTTGTGATTCACTTGGTATAAAATTACTGTGGTAGGCTGGGTGCAGTGGCTCATGCCTGTAATCCCAGCATTTTGAGAGGCCGAGGCGGGTAGATCACCTGAGGTCAGGAGTTTGAAAACAGCCTGGCCAACAGGGTGAAACCTCGTCTCCACCAAAAATACAAAATTAGCTGGGCATGGTGGCAGGCGCCTGTAATCCCAGCTACTTGGGAGGCTGAATCAGGAGAATCGCTTGAACCCGGGAGATGGAGGTTGCAGTGAGCCGAGATCGCACCACTGCACTCCAGCCTGGGCAACAAGGGCGAAACTCTGTCTTAAAAAAAAAAAAATTACTGTGGTAGACAGAACAGTGGCTCCCTAAAGATGTCCAGCTCGTAGTCCCTGGTGTCTGTGAATATGTTAGGTTAAATGGCAAACGAGCCATTAAGCTTGTAGATGGAATATGGGTTGCTCATCAGCTGACCTCAACATGAGGAGGTGATCCTGGATTATCTGGGTGGGCCCAATGTCATGACAAGGGTCCTTAAAAGTAGAAGAGGGAGGCAGCAGTCAGAGGTACAAGTGATGCCATATGAGAGGCACTCAACCTACTGTTGTTGTCTTTGAAGACGGAGGAAGGGGTCATGGGCCAAGGAATGTAGCTGGACCTCTCAAAGCTGGAAAATCAAAGATATGAATTCTCCCCTACATCCTCCAGAAGGAAGAGCCACCCTGCCCATGCCTTAGTTTTAGCCCAGTGTGACTCACATCAAACTTCTAGCCCACAGAACTGTAAGACATTAAGAGAGAAAGAGAGAGAGAGAGAGAGAGAGTGTGTGTGTGTGTGTGTGTGTGTGTTTTGAGAGTCTCTCGCTCGGTCACGTGTGTGTGTGTGTGTGTGTTTTGAGACAGAGTCTCGCTCAGTCACCCAAGCTGGAGTGCAGTGGTGCAATCTCAGCTCACTGCAACCCCTGCCTCCTGGGTTCAAGCGATTCTCCTGCCTCAGCCTCCCAAGTAGCTGGGACTACAGGCGCCTGCCACCACGCCCGGCTAATTTTTGTATGTTTAGTACAGGTGGGGTTTTACCACGTTGGCCAGGCTGGTCTCGAACTCCTGACCTCAAATGATCCATCCACCTCGGCCTCCCAAAGTGCTGGGATTACAGGCGTGAGCCACTGCACCCAGCCTTGTGTTGTTTTAAGCCACTAAACTGGTGGTAATTTGTTACAACAGCAACAGAAAACTAACACACTTCAACCTGAGGAAGCTAATTTTAAAAATCAAATTAAAAAAAATGAAAACAACAACAAAAAAGAAAACTAACACAGGTATGGCCTGGGCTCTTGGAGTTTTAAAAGCAGCCCAGGTGATTCTAATATGCAGCAAAGTATGATAACCACTAAACCAGACGAAAGACAAGATAAAGACGTGCGGCTTGATTGCCTTATGCTGGACAAAGAAACGGTGCTTTCATATGGGAACTTAGTAAATCATCCCACCAAATTATGCATGTAAAGCACCATCACTTGTTAGCCATCCACCCGCAGACACTGCAGCTTACCTGCACGTATATCACAACACATGATCATCAGTTTGGTGGCTAGAGTCCTCTCTAGTCTCACCCATCGAATAGGCTAAATGTCCTTGGGATGAGGAACAATTGTACACCAGATAGGCAGATTTTCTATAAAGCTTACTTTCCTTTTTTTTTTTTTTTGAGATGGATTGTCACTCTATCGCCCAGGCTGGAGTGCAGTGGCACAATCTCGGCTCACTGCAACGTCTGCCTCCCAGGTTGAAGCGATTCTCCTGCCTCAGCCTCCCGCGTAGCTGGGATTACACGCATACAACACCATGCCTGGCTAATTTTTTGTATCTTTAGTAGAGACAGGGTTTCACCATGCTGGCCAGGCTGGTCTCAAACTCCTGACCTCGTGATCCACCCGCCTCAGCCTGCCAAAGTGCTGTGATTACAGGAATGAGCCACCGTGCCCGGCCTATAAAGCTTACTTTCTTATCAATACTATCACTTAAGGAAGGAACTGACCAATAACTGAATTATATGCAAATACATAAATTAGCCTGTTCGTGTTGGTACCATCAGGGAAAGAACTAAGTTGTCCTCTCTGTGCTGAAACTATTAGAATTGTAAAGAGAGAAGGCTTCTCCATTGGATTTAGTAATCTATTTATTTATGATAGATGATAAACAGATGGAATTGATTTATGACAGATAAATGGAACAGCACTGCAGGAACAAATTAACTCATTCTTCCCAAGGATGGAGAATAGAAGTGTCTGCTGTAGGATTCTGAGAAGTGCAGCCCTCTCTTCAAAGCAGGTGTTCGTCTATCCCCAGGGCTTCGATGCTTGCTCATACATGATAACTTTTCTTTTTTTTGAGACGGAGACTTGCTCTGTCGCCCAGGCTGGAGTGCAATGGTACAATCTCGGCTCACCACAACCTCCGCCTCCTGGGTTCTAGCAATTCTCCTGCCTCAGCCTCCCGAGTAGCTGTGACTACAGGTGTGGGCCACCACGCCCAGCTAATTTTTTGTATTTTTAGTAGAGATGAGGTCTCATCATGTTGGCCAGGCTGGTCTCCTGACCTTGTAATCCGCCTGCCTCAGCCTCCCAAAGTGTTGGAATTACAGGTGTGAGCCACCGCACCCACCTGATAACTTTTCTTGAAAGCCATTCCATCGTGTTATTACTAAAAGCTGAAACCTTAGATAGAATACTTTACATTTTCTTTTTCTCTTCCTACTTTGTCTTCTTTAGAGAGGAAGCCAGTTTAGCAGCAAAAGCAGTCACGTTAGAATCAGAAGACCTGAGCTGGAGTTTAGCTCTGTCACTCATAAGCGATGTGGTCTCAGGGGGCCCTGCAGCCACTCTGAGTTTTGCCTCTCACACGAGGAGGGTGCCGCCTTCATGATGTTGTGTGGAGATGAAATGAAATGACATAGATGAAAGGGCTTAGCACATAGTGGGGGCTTTCCATAAATGCCAGCTTCACTGCCACTCAACGACTCCACGCTGTCACACGTCACCTCTACACTGCAGCTGCTCCCATCTCTTCTCTTTGGCTCCGCCCTCTCCCTGAGCTCTGGTACCCTGTCTCCCACTGTCAACTGGACATCTCCCGCCGGCATCTCTAATTAGACACATGCAAACTGGACTTACCATCTCACCCAAAAACCAGTGTCTGCTCTCAAGTTTCCCAACTTCATCCTTAACGTAAAATCACTGGCAATCCCGTGCCCCCGTATTTCTTCCCCCTTTCTGCCCCTACAACCCATCCAGGCCCTCCTCAAGCCAAGAGCCTTGCAGATGCCTACACGTCTTAAACACTCCCCAATCCACCCTGCTTGCAGTTTGCAAATTCATCTTTTTCCAACCAGACTTGTCACATCAAACCCTGAACAAAGATCTTCAAACCCTTTTTTGCCCTGAAGCCTGGTACATAGGATCGAAGAAGAGCAAACTCCACCGGGTGTGGGGATGACAGGAGGCCCACACAGCCTCAGTGTACAAAGTGCTGAGCAATTTCATATCACTGCCACATAGAAGAAAAGCTCTTGGGATGAATGGATCATAAAACACAGTATTGTTAAAAGCAGCTACTGAGAACTGGAAAATTTTTCACCAAATTTCTTTGCATAGTATTTAACAACTATCATCTAAATCTGCCACAACCCCCACTCCAATGCGTTAAACTGTAACAATCATTGACATTAAACCACTTTACATGTTGTATAATCTTAAACTCATTCAACAAATGCTCAAGCCTTTAGTATTTATGTCAACGGCAAATCTGGTCAATCCCAGACTTATTCTTACCATTTTGTTCATCCAATTCATTCCCAATTTCCTGCCCCATTTGTTTTTGGCGACTTATGATAGAGGAAAGGGCATCAAGGCCTGCGTCCTGTTCTGAAAGAAAAAAGAAAAATAATTAACTAGAAACTAGAAGAAAACAACTTAAAGTCCATAAGTATACCCAGGCATATAACACAAGTTGACATATAAATCAGTCAGGAAAAAAAAGAGAAAAGAGTTAACATTATTGGAACAAAATTTAAAAACTAAACACCTACCTGACACCTTAAACTAAAACGATTTCCAAAAGAATTAAGATTTTAAATATGAAAAACAAAGTAAGATTTGGAAACATGAACATTTAAACTTTCTGATACTTAATATATAAAGAGCATGTACAAATCAATAAGAAAAAGACTGAATATCCCAATTTTTTAAATCAGCAGAGGATACAGGCAAGAACTTCACAATAAAAAAGAAAATAAAGTTTTAACATCGCTACTAATTTTTTTAAAAATACAAATAAAAAACTACTTTTTTTGGCTTATCAGATGTATAAGGATTAAAAAGAATGACAATACCTAAGGTTAATTAAATTGTGACGATCTAGAAGCTCCCAAGTACTATGTAATAGGTGAATAAGTTTTACTGACGGCCGTATTTCTCAAGTGTAGACTGTGCCCACCTTTTTACCTGCCAATTCTAAGTCTAGGAATGTATGTAAGAAAATATTCAGATAGCATGTAATGATGGATATACAAGGATATTCCCTGAAACATTTGTTTCTTGTGCCAGATATCAACTTAGTGCCTCTCAGCAACAAATTCCCTCTTTTTGGCTGCTCTATGAAGATGAACCAGCTGGGCACAGTGGCTCATGCCTGTTATCCCAGCCACTTTGGGAAGCCAAGGCAGGAGGTTCACTTGAAGCCAGGAGTTCAAAACCATCCTGCATCAAAAAGTAAGATCTCACCTCTAGAAAATTTTCTTTAAAAAATTAGCCAGGCAGCCAGTCGCGGTGGCTCACGCCTGTAATCCCAGCACTTTGAGAGGCCAAGGCGGGTGGATCACGAGGTCAGGAGATCGAGACCATCCTGGCTAACAAAGTGAAACCCCGTCTCTACTAAAAATACAAAAAAAAATTAGCTGGGCCTGGTGGCAGACACCTGTAGGCCCAGCTACTGGGGAGGCTGAGGCAGGAGAATGGTGTGAACCCAGGAAGCGGAGATTGCAGTGAGCTGAGATTGCGCCAATGCACTCCAGCCTGGGTGACAGAGTGAGACTCCGTCTCAAAAAAAAAAAAAAAATTAGCTAGGCACGATGGCATGTACCTGTAGTGTCAGCTACTTGGGAGGCTGAGGTGAGAGGATTGGTTGATCATCCAGGAGTTCGAGGCTGCAGTGAGCCATGATCACGCCACTGCACCCCAGCCTGGGTGATAGAGAGAGGCTCTGTCTCTAAATAAAAAATAATTTGAAAATTTTTTAAAAAAGAAAATGAACCAAGGCTGCTTGAATACTTTTTCCTTTGTCAGAGTTTTTGCTTCCTGGCTCCAGCCTGCAATCTTGGCAGGCTCCTTCAGCAACTGCAACTCCTTCAGTGCCTGGCCCCTTCAGTGCACAGTGGCCAGCAATACCCAGAACCAGCAACTTCTCCCAGCACACCCCCTCCTCGGGCAGGTTTATAACAAGAGCGCCTCCAGGGAGGTTCTTCCCCATGAAGAGTTTCCCCCAGCATCCCAGAGGGCAGATCTCCAGGAGGTTCTGACAGCAGGGCACCACGGGGGCTTCTGTGAAATTCAGGGACCCTCAGCTGAGCCTTCTCTTAGCCCTAGGGGCGTGGGCTCCTCCCTGGACATTCTGTCTCAGCCTGAGACTTGGTGATTGCACCTTATCCCTGCTAGTTCTGTTTTGAGAGTTCTTTTGACCTCTTGTTAGCTAATCCCTCGTTACTCTAATCCCTGTTAAAATTAATAATTTACATTCAACTTTCCCTGTCAAATTTCTCTCTCCTGATCAGACCCATAGTGATATACTTATAATAGTGAAAAATTAGAAAGTACCTAAATGCCCAAACACAGAGATGTTTATAAATTTATAGTATATCCACATAGTAAAACACTGTATAGCCACTGAAAATCATATTGTTTATCTATATTTTGATGTTGAAAGAAGTTCATATGTTTTGTTTTTTTTTGTTTTGTTTTTTTGTTGTTGTTGTTGTTTTTGAGATGGAGTCTCACTCTGTCGCCCAGGCTGGAGTGCAGTGGCGCGATCTCGGCTCACTGCAAGCTCCACCTCCCGGGTTCACGCCATTCTCCTGCCTCAGCCTCCCGAGTAGCTGGGACTACAGGCGCCCGCCACCACGCCCGGCTAATTTTTTGTGTTTTTAATAGAGACGGGGTTTCACCGTGTTAGCCAGGATGGTCTCGAGCTCCTGACCTCGTGATCCGCCCGCCTCGGCCTCCCAAAGTGCTGGGATTACAGGCGTGAGCCACCGCCCCCGGCCCCCATGATATGTTCTTAAGTAAAAAAGCAGGAAGCTGGGCGCAGTGGCTCACGCCTGTAATCCCAGCACTTTAGGGGGCTGAAGCGGGCAGATCACTTAAGCCCAGGAGTTTGAGACCAGACTGGGCAACACTGTCTGTCTCTACTAAAAATACAAACATTATCTGGGTGTGGTGGCGCATGCCTATAGTCCCAGCTACTCGGAGGTGGATGGATCACTTGAGCATGGGAGGCAGAGGTCACAGTGAGCCGAGATGGCGCCACTGCACTCCAGCCTGGGTAACAGAGTGAGAACCTGTCTCAAAAAAAAAAAAAAAAAAAAAAAAAAGATACAAAACAAAGTATAGTACAACAGCTTTTGTTTTAAAAATGAAAATGTATTACTTTGAAACTTTTTGCAAATTTAAAGAGCAAAGTTAGTTTTTGAAAATTTAAAGAAAAAGGTGAGTTAAACTCAAGTTACTCACGATCCTTTCTTTAAAATTTAATATGTATATTTTGAACTGGGGGTCTCGGTCATGTCTTTGTAAAAATTTTCTTCCTCTAATTTCAGGTGCTTTGAGAACACTGTGAAGCTGAGTGTAATGACTCTTGTTCACCACGGAACACGCCGCATGAAGGTAACATTGTACCCCTCGCAGCTTCATTTGTCTACAGGGTTTTTGAAATGACTGTTTCACATAAAGGCTTATCTACAAAAGCAAAAATCACAAAGGTCTTACTCGAGGTCGCATTAACATTTACTTATATTTTTTCCAAGTCTTTTTATGGAATTAAATCATCAAACTTAGCTCTTTAATTCATCTGGAATTTATTTAAACTAACGGTGTGAGGTAACAACCCCTTTGTGACATTGTTTGACACACTGTACTTTTTTTAACTATACAAATGACCTGCCGTCTTTAGGGATCATTCACAAGGACCATTTTATAGTAAAATCACTTTATAATGAGGTCCTCTTGGTCTTTAATAACAACCTCTTGGATGGCCTCCAAGATAAATCCATCCTCAACCAAGTGCTCCTATAGGATGACTGATGTTATAGTAAAATTCTAAATGCATCTGATGAATAATCTATATATATAGGACTGAGGGTTGAGTGTCAACGTGGATTAAAAGATAAAACCATTTAAAAATAGGAAAGGCAATTCCTCCACAGTTTCCATTAGGAAAAGAGTCATTAAACTCCTAAAATTGCTTTATCTAGTAGAGACATAGATTATGAATGAAAAATACACTAATTACACTCTTTAATCTCAAACTTGACTCATTATCTGATTTAGCAACCTGATGATCATCTAATGCACATGAGAAAGAGAACTAAAAGTTCTGTTCCCCTCTAATAATTTGTATAAGCTTAGCAATTCTCTCCACATCTTTAAGTGCTGCAGTAAATTTTCATTACACAATCCAAAGACACAGAAGATTCAGATAATCGAGATGCTGTAGAGGTAATAATAATCACATTCATAACCTGGGCTTCCCCAAGTCCTGAAGAGGCATTTCTAAGGGGAAGGTGGTATGGCTATCTTAGAGACAATGATCAAAACACAATGCTGCTGACTGCAAAAATATAAATAATCAAGAACCATGCATGGGCATGGTGGTGTGCGCCTGTAGTCTCAGCTATTCGGGAGGCTAAGGCAGGAGGACTGCTTGAGCCCAGAAGTTCAAGTCCAGCCAGGGGCAATATAGCAAGACTCCTGTCTCAAAAAGAAAAAAAGAAGAAGAAACCATACCATGCAGTTTCTTTTTCTTTCTCTTTTTTTTTTTTTTTTTGAGACAGAGTTTCGCTCTTGTCGCCCAGGCTGGAGTACAATGGCATGATCTCGGCTCACTGTAACCTCCACCTTCCAAGTTCAAGCAATTCTCCTGTCTCCGCCTCCCCAGTGGCTGGGATTACAGGCATCCACCACAATGTCCAGCTAATTTTTGTATTTTTAGTAGAGACGAGGTTTTGCCATGTTGGCCAGGCTGGTCTCGAACTCCTGACCTCAGGTGATCCAGCTGCCTCGGCCTCCCAAAGTGCTGGGATTACAGGCGTGAGCCACCACACCCAGCCACCATGTACTTTCTTACCAACAAAACTACCATCATGTCATAACTGCCAAAATCTGCCCTACTCTTTCACATAACCCAAGTCATGATGATATCACAAGAGGGCAATTGTAACATACCACACTCTATCAGTCATTATTCTATTTTACAATGATTTGAATTTTTAAAAATGGATGGATCATTGTTACAGATAGAATAATATCCCCCATGTTTAAGATGTCCATATCCTAATCCCCAGAAACTATGAATATGTTCCCTTACATGGCAAAAGGGACTTTGCAGATGTGATTAAGGTTAAAAATCTGAGACGGGGGATTAGCCTGGATTATCCAGGTGGATCCAGTATAATCATATGAGTCCTGAAAAGCAGAGAACCTTTCCCAGCTGCCATCAGAGGGAGTATGAAGAAGGGTCAGAGAGAGATAACTTACTGGCTTTGAAGACGAAAGAAGAGATGTGGGAGCCCTCTAGAAGCTACAAAAAGTAAGGGAACGAATTCTCCAGAATGAGCCTCCAGAAAAGAATCAAGCTAACTGCTTGATCTGAGCCCTGTGGGACCTGCATTGGACTACTCACCTACAGAACTGTAAGATCATAAATGTGTTTTAAGTCACTAAGTTTGTGCTAATTTATTAAAGCAGCAATAGAAAACTAATACAATCATTTTTTAAAAATCCCCTTGAAACCATTAGGTGTTTGGATATTTCCTATCTGTAGACATTCAGAAATGCAAGATCTGGATAGTGGGAAACTAAAGGGCAAATGCAGTTTCAATGAAGAAACTGCATAGAAGAAAAAGGAAGAGTTGGAAAAAGAACCTGTATATTAAAGAAACTTAAGAGACATAACTAGTTGCAATGTATGGGCCATATTTAGATCCTGAATTGAACTACCTAAAAGAAAACATCACAGCACAATCAGGGAAACTTGAATGCTGAGTATTTGATTAGATTCAGGAAATATTGTTAACTTCTTAAGGATGATAATGGCATGTGACTATAGTTTTCCAAAACAGTATTTATCTTTTCCAAACATATTTCAGATATATATTCTCAAATATCCACTGATGAAATGATACGATGTCTGGGATTTGCTCCCAAAATAACCTAGGGGCTGGGTAGGATGGGTAGGTTACGGGATGGCATATACATGTGAACAGATTGGCTATGGGTTGACAATCACTGAGGCTGGAGGATGAGTAGGACAAAGTCATTATCTGACACTCTCTACTATTACACGTTTGAAATTTTCCATAGTAAAAAGTTATCAATATTTTAACAATACAACAGAGGGACATCCCTAAGAGCTGCAACTACAGTCCCTGGATTGAGTACAAGATCCAGACCCCAATGACTGTCTTCTTTTCCTGTGTCTTTGACATACATGAGACTTCTTCTTTTTCTATGTCTTTGCCCCAGATCTGAGCCCAGCTAGTGGCACGGAGCACCAACATATTTAAATCAAGGACTGAAATGTACAACACTTGTTTAAATCAATGAATGACCACAGAGGGAGGGCCCTCTAGGTTTACAAAAGAAAGGAATACAGTCTCTGCTAGACAGAAAGACTCCTGGCCAATACTAGAGAGCCCTCTGAGTTTACACAGTCAAAAAAGTAGTTGATGTTGTGTTGTCCAGTGCCCACAGAGAAGCAATGAACCTTTCACATTTAACATACAGAAGGAGCTCTCCCTCAATAAAGGAAGGTAGGAATGAAAGAGAAGAAAATCAGGTCACCCAGGTGCAGTGGCTCACGCCTGTAATCCTAGCACTTTGGGAGCCTGAGGTGGGGGGGGATCATCTGAGGTCAGGAGTTCGAGACCAGCCTGGCCAACATGGCAAAATCCTGTCTCTACTAAAAATACAAATATTAGCCAGATGCAGTGGCATGCACCTGTAGTCCCAGCTACTTGGGAGGCTGAGGCTGGAGAATCACTTGAACCCAGGAGATGGAGGTTGTATTGAGTTGAGATCGCACCACTGCACTCCAGCCTGGGTGACAGAGTGAGACACCATCTCAAAAAAAAAAAACAAAAGAAAAGAAAAATTAGGTCAAGCTAGATAAAAAGTTAATCACTATGTTAGAAGACTCAGAGCAAGTTTAAGAATAGATGTTTTTATTTTTGTTTTAAGATTTTAGGAAAGGAATCCTTCTAGTCTAGGTGACAGCTACAAGAAAGGGTATCTTCAAAGAAAGTTTTCTGTGAAGCTGTGACTGCAAGGGTTCAAAGGTTAGCTACTAAGATTCCCCAGTGTGAAATGGAGTCTGGCTAGCCACCTTCTACAGCCCCATTTCACATGCAAACACCAAGAGACCTAAGAACGCAGAAATCTAGAACGATTGCACAATTTCCTGCTAGAGTCTAGAAAGAACATCTATAGAAAATTCATAAGACTAGATGAAGCTGATGAAGAAACCCCATCAAGAAAGACCTCCTGGGTGAAGGTGGAATGACACTTCATACTTCTCCAAGGTCTGCGATCCCACTCAGGGACAAGGGTGTATAATAACCAAAGCATTTTGAAACAAGAAACAAGTACCCTTGTTCCTTCTATCTCAGGGATCTTTGAGGCAATTAAGTGATTGTCATCACCCACCCATCTTCTGCCTAATGCCCATTTCATGCTTCAAATTACAGCTGAAGGGGCACAGAAGCCAAATTGGCTAATTTGTTACGATGAGGCTTCACTTCTAGGTTAGGCAAGGAAGGCATTCCCTGCCCTTCAGTCTATGTTCTACCAGTAAACTGTAATTTTGGGATGATTTTCAAAGTTTCTAAGGGTCAGCTAGAGTGCAGAATGGCTAAGGGATTCCACGGGCTAAAGGAAGTCAGAAATGACCTTTTGTGGCTCTTTATTTTCATTTAATGCAGGACCTGGCAAGGACGCAAACAAAGCCATAGCAACTTCAGCACATTGTCAAGATTCTTGAGGCAGAGAAAAGGCTAATAAGGGTTCTGTGTGAAGATTACTTCCATTTTTTGTATTTGTCCTTGAAAAACAGCTCGCTAGCAAAGAGGAATATGGCATTTCTTTCTTTCTTTTTCTTGAAGCAGTCTTGCCCTGTCGCCAGGCTGGAGTGTAGTAGCACAATCTCGGCTCACTGCAACCTCCGCCTCCCGAGTTCAAGCCATTCTCCTGCCTCAGCCTCCCGAGTAGCTGGGACTACAGGCGCCCGCCACGGACGCCCAGCTAATTTTTGTATTTTTAGTAGAGATGGGGTTTCACCATGTTGGCCAGGATGGTCTCGATCTCTTGACCTTGTGATGTGCTTGCCTCTGCCTCCCAAAGTGCTGGGATTACCGGCGTGAGCCACCACGCCCAGCCGGAACATAGCATTTCAAAACACAAAGGTAAGAGCAGTGGAGAGAAACTGACCTGCAACCTGCGCTGCCGCTCCCCGCAAACTCCACCCACACCCCACAGGCCAGCAGGCTTCCCAAGGGTGAGAATCTTCATAAGGAAGCTCTGTTTTGGAGACTGTGACAAACACTTTGAGGAGCATCCTCTCACACTGACCTAAAGCAACCCCTGAAAATAGCACCTTCTCCGGGACGAGCATACTCTTCCCGACTGAAAACAGCTTTTCTTGGCAAAATGCAACAATGCCAGAAAATGCATGAGTATTAGCTATAAGGTGCTCCATTCAGGAAATGTGAGTCCTGAAGAGCGAATGGTTGTGCTGCATGTAAAGCTGTGTTGTTTTTCATTTTTTTCACTTTCCTCCAAATATGGTAATGGGTGAAGTATGTAAAACTGAAGATGTAAGAGAGTCACGGTGTTTCACTGACTCAATAATTTCACTGTGAAAAGGGAATTCGAAATAGAATCAGATTTCTGCTTCTGCCCAAGATGGACTGACAGGCACCAGACTTCCTTCTGGACTGAAACAACTGGAAAAACAAAACAAAACAGGGTAAATATACGAAACAACAGTTTTAAGACATGGACATCAGGAAATGAAGGGCAGTGATCCCTGAGAGACGGGAAACAAATGAGGTGAGTTCTAAGACTGCCCCGGATTACTACCTCATAAGAGTTCCCAAGCCATGGTGTGGGGATGGGAGAACACAGGTGGAACCCAGCATTTTCCTCGAGTTGAGAAAAGTCCCAAGAGGCCATGGTGGTTAGAGGATGTAGGGCACAGGACCAGAGAGGACTGCAGAGAGTACTCTGTAGATCTGCACAGGGGCCACTTTGAGTCTCGAGCTGAGTGTCATTCAGAAATTAGTGACTTTGGCAAGGCTGCATGATCCAAGATCAATATACAAAGATCAACTGTATTTTGATATACAAGCAACAATTAGAAATTGATATTTTAAAAATGCTACTTAGAATAAAAGATATGAAGGCCGGGCGTGCTGGCTCACGCCTGTAATACCAGCACTTTGGGAGGCCGAGGCGGGCAGATCACGAGGTCAGGAGATTGAGACCATCCTGGCTAACATGGTGAAACCCTGTCTCTATTTAAAAAAATACAAAAAATTAGCCGCGCGTGGTGGCGGGCACCTGTAGTCCCAGCTACTTGGGAGGCTGAGGCAGAAGAATGTCGTGAACCCAGGAGGCAGAGCTTGCAGGGAGCCAAGATCTCGCTACTGCACTCCAGCCTGGGTCACAGAGTGAGACTGTCTCAAAAAATAAAATAAAATAAAAGATATGAACTATTTAGGGATAAATAGGATAAAAGATATATAAGACACGTATAGCAAAAACTAAAAGGCATTGCTGAGAGAATTTGAGACTCAATAGTGTTAAAATATCAATTCTCCTCAAACTAATCTAAAAATTCAATGTAATCCCAATCAAATGCCCAGGAAGCTTTCTTTTGTAAAATTAAAAACAGATTCTAGAATTCACATGGAAATGCAAAAGACCTAGAATATCCAATAAAATTGTAAAAATAAACGAAGCTGGATGACCTGTACTATCTTACTTAATGACCCATCATAAAGGTAAAATAATTAATACAGTGAGGCATTGGTATAAAGATAAACAAATAGACCAATGGAAAAGAACAGAGAGTACAACAGAAATAGGCCCATACGCGCAGCAGCTCACATCTGTAATCCCAGCACTTTGGGAGGCCGAGGTGGGTGGGTCACCTGAGGTCAGGAGTTTGAGACCAGCCTGGCCAACATGGAGAAACCCCATCTCTACTAAAAATACAAAAATTAGCTGGGCATGGTGGTACATGCCTGTAATCCCAGCTACTCAGGAGGCTGAGGCAGGAGAATCGCTTGAACCTGGGAGACGGAGGATGCAGTAAGCCAGGATCACGCCACTGCACTCCAGCCTGGGCAACAGTCTCAAAAAAATAAACAGGCCAGGCACGGTGGCTCACGCCTGTAATCCCAGCACTTTGGGAGGCCGAGGCAGGCGGATCACGAGGTCAGGAGATCGAAACCAGCATGGCTAACACGGTGAAACCCCATCTCTAAAATACAAAAAATTAGCCAGGCATGGTGGTGGGTGCTTGTAGTCCCAGCTACTCGGGAGGCTGAGGCAGGAGAATAGCGTGAACCTGAGAGGTGGAGCTTGCAGTGAGCAGAGATTGCGTCACTGCACTCCAGCCTGGGCGACAGAGCAAGACTCTGTCTCAAAAAACAAACAAACAAACCAAACATGATGAGCTGTCACCTCACACCTGTCAGAATGGCTATGATCAAAAAGAAAAAAGATAACAAGTGTTGGCAAGAATGTGGAGAAAAGCGAATCCCTGCACACTGTTGGTGGGGATGTAAATTTACTGCAACCATTATGGAAAACAGTATGGAGGTTCTTCAAAAAATTAAAAGTGATACTAGCAATCCCACTGCTGGGATTTGTAGGCAAAGAAAGCCAGGCAAATACCATATGATCTCATTTATATGCAGAATCTGAAAAAGATGAACAGAGAAGCAGAGAGCAGAGGAGTGGTTACCCAGCCCTGGGGTTTGGGGGAGAGATGAGGAGATGTGGGTCACAGAATACAAAATTTCAGTTAGACAGAAAGAATAAGCTCAAAAGATCGACTGTACAACAGGGTAACTAATATACTTAAAAATTGCTAAGAGAGTAGATTTTAAGTGTTCTCACCATAAATAAATATGCATGTGAGCTTATACATAAGTTAATTAGATTGATTTGCCCATTCTACTATGTATACATATTTTGAAACAACACATTGCAAACCATAAATATAATTTTTACTTGCAAATTAAAAATTGTTTTAAATTTAAAAAGTCAAACAGCTACTATATGACTCACTCATTCCACTTGTAGGTATTTACCCCAGAAAAAATGCAAATTTACGTCCATACAAAGTCTTATACATGAATGCTAATAGCAGCTTTCTTTGTAACAGTCAAAAACTGAAAACCACCCAAATATTAATCAACAGGTGAATGGATACACAGATTGTGGTAAATCCATACAATGGAATACAAATCTATAATATAAGAGTGAAATGCAGGCCGGGCGCGGTGGCTCATGCCTGTAATCCCAGCACTTTGGGAGGCCGAGTCGAGTGGATCGCTTGAGGTCAGGAGTTCGAGACCAGCCTGGCCAGCATGGTGAAACCCCATCTCTACTAAAAATACAAAAAAAATTAGCTGGGCATGATGGCGGGCGCCCGTAATCCCAGCCACTCGGGAAGCTGAGGCAGGAGAATTGCTTGAACCCAGGAGGTGGAGGTTGTGGTGAGCTGAGATCGTACCACTGCACTCCAGTCTAGGCAGCAAAGCCAGACTCTGTCTCAAAAAAAAAAAAAAAAAAAAAAGAGTGAAATACTGATACACATAACCAGTTCAATGAATCTTAAAATAATTATGCTTAGACAAAGAAGCCAGAGCCCCTTCTTCCCCAAAAGGTACATACTGTATAGTTCTATTTATATAAAATTATAGAAAATGGAAACTAATTTATAGTGACAGAAAGAAGTTCAGCAGTTGTCTGGGCATGGCAGGGAGGAACAATAGGAAGAATTACAAAGAGGCATGAAGAAAACTTTTGGGAATAACAATTAGGTTCATTATTTTTATTGCAGTGATGGTTTCACAGGCATATACATATGTCAAAGCTTATCAAATCATATACTTCAAACATGGGCCATTTATGATCATATCAACTACATCTCAATAAAGCTGACTTTAGATTTATTTTCTCCTCCTCCTCCTCCCTCTTCCTTTTTATTCATTAATTTTTTTAAAGATGGGATTTTACTATGTTGCCTAGGCTGGTGTCAAACTCCTACACTCAAGCCATCCTGCTGCCTTGGCCTCCCAAAGTGTCAGGAGTACAGGCATGTGCCACCAGGCCTGGCAATAAAGCTGATTTTAAAAAGCAGAATTAGAAAGAATAATGTATCTGTACATACTGACATTTTAAAAAGTCCATAACACATACTAAGTGGTTTTTTCTTTTTTTTCCTTTGAGATGGAGTCTCACTCTGTTGCACAGGCTGGAGTGCAGTGACATGCTATATCGGCTCACTGCAACCTCTGCCTCCTGGGTTCAAGCGATTCTCCTGCCTCAGCCTCCTGAGTAGCTAGGACTACAGGTGCGTGCCACCACACCCAGCTAATTTTTTATTTTTAGTAGAGACGGCGTTTCACCATGTTGGCCAGGCTGGTCTCGAACTCCTGATCTCAGGTGATCCTCCTGCCTCAGCCTCCCAAAGTGCTGGGATTACAGGCGTGAGCCACCACACCCAGCCGACACATACTAAGTTTTAAAAAGGTGTGGAATTATATATATATATGGAGAGAGCTAAATATCTCATGATTCCATTTATGTAAAATAAGTATATTTATATTGAATATATGTATGTGAATGTATACAAAAGGTCTAAGGAAATACATATTAATCTGTTTCCAGTTTGAGATTGGAGAAACAATATGGAGGGCTTTCATCTTATACATTCCTATGTTGTTTACACTTTGTATAACAATCATGCATACTTCTGAAATTTTAAAAATATAAGAAAGTTTAAAAAAAAAAAGTTAAAAAGCCACAGGGCAAAAGATAAAAAAGAAAAGCCAAACTGACATATTTTATAATTTAAAAAATAAAATGGAGTCTTGTGTTTGGAGACTAATTCCCAGTCGTGAAGCTAAAGTAAAGAGCATAAGCATCAAATTTGCTTGGACTTAGATTCAGATCTGCTCTCTCTGCTCTTGCCCAATGGAAAATCACCACTTCCATGAGCCACCGAGATGAGTGACAGCAACTGTCTATTCCTCAGGTATCCTGAGGCACACACCAAAAGCTTTAAAAGACCAGCAGTTTTCACTCCAATTTTCAATGGGGATGAGGAACAAACAAGGCTCCAGTAGAAAATCTGGTGGCCGGGCACGGTGGCTCACACCTGTAATCCCAGCACTTTGGGAGGCCAAGGTGGGAAGATCATGAGGTCAGGAGATCAAGACCATCCTGGCTAACAGGGTGAAACCCTGTCTGTACTAAAAATACAAAAAATTAGCCGGGCATGGTGGCACGCACCTGTAGTCCCAGCTTCTCGGGAGGCTGAGGCAGGAGAATCGTTTGAACCCGGGAGGTGGAGGTTGCAGTGAGCCAAGATCACGCCACTGCACTCCAGCCTAGGCGACATAGCAAGACTCCGTCTCAAAAAAAAAAAAAAAAAAATTCTGGCAAGGTTTCTGAGCCCACACTCCTCAGGATATTTAGTACCTTGGATAATTTTCTGCTGCTGTTGCCGGATTTCATCAAAACCCAAGCCTCTGGTCTCCTCTGGCTCCTCAAAGAGCCAAGGGTTGGGTGCTCCTCGCTTAGCCTCTTCACTCATCAGGCTGGACCTAAAGAACAATATTAAATGCATGATATATCTCAAAACATGCAGCTCAAATGCAAATTACTCCCACAAGTGCAGAGGTGGCCAGCCTTGAATGCTTTGAAAATTCAATTCAAACACAATTTATTGCATCATTAGTTTATGCCAGGAACTGTATTCAGTGCTGGACGAGATACAAGGATGAATAAGGCACAAGCTTGGTCCTCAGAATTACAGCCTGTTATAGAGATGATGGGAGAACATAATATTTGTACTAATCCTCCAAGAGATGTTTGAGTTAATAATCCTAAAAGAAGTTGGTAATAAATGAGGTTCTTAAATTTCAAAAACAGAAGGCCGAACAGCGGCCTTTTTATTAGGACAAAGTTTGTCTCAGAGGCTACGTGACCCCAAAGGTACAAATATTATTTCTCAAGCAGACACAATGTTGCGACTACAGATTACAATGTTGTTGTTGTTTTAAAAAAAGACCATATAATTTCCCATTAAAGGGTATTTGGAGCCGGGCGCAGTGGCTCATGTGTGTAATCCCAGCCCTCTGGGAGGCTGAGGCGGGCAGATCACCTGAAGTCAGGAGTTCCAGACCAGCCCGTCCAACATGATGAAACCCTGTCTCTAATAAACACAAAAAAAATTAGCCGGGCTTGGCGGCAGACATCTGTAATCCCAGCTACTTGGGAGGCTGAGGCAGGAAAATCGCTTGAACCTGAGAGGCGGAGGTTGCAGTGAGCCAAGATGGCGCCACTGCACTGCAGCCTGGGTAGCGGAGCAAGACTCTGTCTCAAAAAAAAAAAAAAAAAAAGGAGTATTTGGTTGCTCAGAGACAGAAACACATGCAGGGTTTCAATACCAATTTTGTGACTATAATGTAGCATTCATAACAGAATAAACACATTCTGATTTGTCAATCTTAACCTTACTCCCTCTAATAATCCATGTGCCCTTTCTGCACGAGACCAGTTGGTCTCGCTGTCTAAGGAACAGGAAACACATGATTTCCACCTCAGTCCCCATGTTTTCAGGATTTTTCTCCTCTCAAGTAGCTCCTCTCCTCTCCCCACCTGTCTGCATTCTGTCCAAGCTGAGAAGATCATCTTGTCCAGGACACGACCTTCTGACCAATTCAACAAAGAGATGAACATTAGACTCATCTTTAGAGCTCTCAACAGATTCATGAAAAATCATAGAATAAATGATGGGTGGGACATCAGCAAGATGACTGATTAGAGTCAGCTGGTGCTCACCCGCTCCCCCCCCCCCCCACCCACCTTTCTTAGGAAAGGACTAAGGCAATGAATAAACAGCTAAGATTTGACTTCAGTGTGGGAAAGTGCTGAACTGCAGTGGGGAAGTGGAGAGGCCCCTGTGGTGACTGAAAGTCTAGGAGGGCAGCATGAAGGCCCCCAGCCTCTGTGGCCCCATCTCTTCCACCAGGACTGAGGAGGCCTGGACATATGAAGGCCTTCTCCCTGTGAGGAAAAGGTAAGCGGGAGATTCCCACCTGCCCCCACTGCCACTGCAAACACCTACAGTCCTTATTACAGGAGGATCCCCCAGTCCTTGCAAGTTCTGAGCCCAGTTTGGAGAGCTGCTGGGAATTCGTACAGTTGCACTGCCCCAGATTAGGAGCATTCCCCACTCCCCACCCACTCCATGAGCCAAGTTACTACAGCATGGCGCCATCTTTAGACCACAGCTCCCTCTGGAGTGTGCCTTCCTCTTGGGGCCAGTAGCCACTGCACCTTTCCAGCACTGGGACTCCATTTTCATGCCACCAAAGCTACACAGGTGGCTGAACTCCACAACCCAGGGCTCGGGAATGGCTGTGACTCTGGTCCTGCAATGAAGGGAAACCACCCTCTGCACTTTCAGCCACAGAAACAGTCCCACCCAGGGCAAACCCACTCTTGAGCCAACCAAACTGCTGCATACCCTCCTGCAAGCAGAAGGCCCTGAGCAACTGACAGGCTAGCAGAGTGACTACGCTCCTGCATCCCGGATCTATGAAACAGTCGGGCAGTGCAGCCCCCTACAGACATGCCCCCGGCCTGCCCAAAGGCCCCACACCTCAATCAGGGCCTGAGAAACAACCCTGCAGGCTGCCCCTGGCAGACATACCCCCAGGCCAGCCAAGTAGCCATGTGTCCATATCTCAGGCCTGAAAAACAGCCCATGGGTCACCCCTAGCGGCAACTCCCCTAGGCCAGCCGAGCAGCCTTGTGTTCATATCCCGGGTCTGAGAAGCAACTCCTCAGGCCACTCCTGGCAGACATGCCCCCGGGGCCATCAAGCAGACTTATGCCCACCTCTCATGCCTGAGAAATAGCCCTGTAGGCTGTCCCCAGCAGGCATTCCCCACAGGAGAGCTGAGCAGCAGTGTGCCCATGTCCCAAACCTGAGAAACAGCCCAACAGGCCACCTCTGGCAGGCATACTCCCAGACTGGCCAAGCAACCAAGCAACTGTGCCCTCAGCCAGAGTAAGGGCACCAACCCCAACCCCAGCAAGTGAGACCCCAAGTTGGACAACCCACCATGTGAACGCATGCATCGCTGACCTGACAAATAGCCCGGTGAACACATCCCTGGCAAAGTCATGCCACCACCACCACAAAGCCTCTCAGCTGAGGCCACTGAGACACTCACAAATGTCACTGGCATGGATTACAGTTAAAGAAACTACACAAAAACTACACTACTATGCCCACCTGGAACCAAAGCCAATGCATCCCACTGAACCAACACCCCAAGATCCATTCATACAAATATTTCTTTCCCTGCAAAACCTACCACATAAAATTGGAAGAGGCAATTATTCCACCAGATGCATAGACATCAACATAGGGATACATCGAACATGAAAAAGCAAGGAAACATGACACCTCCAAAGGAATACAATAATTCCTGTGTAATAGACCCCAATGATAGAGAAATATACAAAATGACAGAAAAAGAATTCAAAATAGTAATCTTACAGTGAGATACAAGATAATAGAGCTAGACAATTTGATGAAATCAGGAAAACAATTCATGACTTGAACAAGAAATTCAACAAGAAGATAAATACCATAAAAAAGAACAAAACAGGTATCCTGGAGTGGAAGAATTCAATGAATAAGTAAATAAGTACAAGCTAGAGCTTTACCAAAAGACTAGACCAAGCAGAATTTTATTTATTTATTTTTTTGGAGACAGGTTCTTACTCTGTCACCCAGGCTGGAGTGCAGTGGCATTATCTCAGCTCACTGCAACCTCCACCTCCTGGGCTCAAGTGATTCTCCCTCCTCAGTCCTCCTGAGTAGCTGGGACTACAGGGGCATGCCATCACATCCAGCTAATTTTTGTATTTTTTGGTAGAGATGGGGTTTCACCATGTTAGCCAGGTTGGTATCGAACTCCTAATCTCAAGTGATCTGCCCGCCTTGGCCTCCCAAAGTGCCAGGATTACAGGTGTGAGCCACCATGCGTGGCTGAATTTTTGAACTTGAAGACAGATCTTGTGAAATAACACAGAAAGATGGGGGGAAGAAAAAGTAAAATGGAATGAAGAAAGCCTACAGAATTCATGGGACACTATTAAGTGAACAAATATTCACACTGTAGGTGTTCCAGAAAGAGAAAAGAAGGGCAAATGTACAGAAAACATTGAATGAAATAGTAGCTGAAAACTTCCCAAGTCTTGGGAGCTTCCAGATCCAGGAAGCTAAAAGAATCCCAAATAGATTCCATTCAAACAGGACCCCTCTTAGGCACATTAGAGTCAAATTATCAAAAGTCAAAGACAAAGAATTCTAAAAACAGCAAGAGAAGGACTGGATGTGGTGGCTCATGCCTGTTATCCCAGTACTTTGGGAGGCCGAGGCTGGCAGATCACGATGTCAGGAGTTCAAGACCAGCCTGGCCAACATGGTGAAACTCTGTCTCTACTAAAAATACAAAAAAATTAGCTGGGCATGGTGGCAGGTGCCTGTAATCCCAGCTACTCAGGAGGCAGAGGCAGGAGAATCACTTGAACCTGGGAGGCGGAGGTTGCAGTGAGCTGAGACCACGCTACTGCACTCCAGCCTGGGCAACAGAGCAAGACTCCATCTCAAAAACAAACAAACAACAATGACAAAAAGAAACCAGCAAGAGAAAAGCATCAAATCACCTATGAGGGAGTTCCCATTAGACTAATAGCAGATTTCTCAGCAGAAATCTTACCAACCAAGAGAGAATAGGATTTTATGTTCAAAGTACTAAAAGAAAAAAAAAATCTGCCAACCAAGAATATTACATGCAGCAAAGATATCCTCCAGAAATGAAAGAGAAATAAAATCTTTCACAGACAAGCAAAAACGAAGGTAATCCATCACCACTAGACCAGTCTTACAAGAAGTGCTCAAGGGAGTATTACATCTGGAAGTGAAAAGATCATAACAGCCATTATAAAAACATGTGACACTATAAAACTCACTGGTAGAGCCAATATACAAAGGAAAAAGAGAAAGAAATCAAGCCTTATCACTTCAGAACACTACCCAACCACAAAAATAAACAGTAAGAGGAAGTAAGGAACAAAGGATATAGAAAACAGCCAGAAAACAATAAAATGACAAGATAAGTCCTCACCTATTAATAATAACCTTGAATGTAAGTGAATTAAATATCTCATTAAAAGACATAGACTGGATAACTAGATTAAAAAAAAAAAAACAAGACTAGACTCAACTATATGCTGCATAGAAGAAACTCACCTGACCTACAGACACACATAGACTGAAAGCAAAGGTATGGAAAAAGATATTCTACGCAAACAAAAACCAAAAGCAAGCAGGAGTAGCTGTACTTATATCAGACAAAACAGACTTCAAGTCAAAAGTTGTGAAATTAGACAAAGAAGGACATTACATAATAATAAAGGGATCAATTCAACAAGAGAATGTAACAACTGTAAATATATACACATTCAATACCAGAGCACTCAGATATATAAAGCAAACATTATTAGCTCTAAAGGGAGAGATAGACTCAAATAGAGTAATAGCTGGAGATTCTAACATCTCACTCTCAGCATTGGACAGATCATTCAGACAGAAAATCAACAAAGAAACATCATATTTAAACTACACCACAGAACAAACAGACCTAACAGATATTTATGGAACATTTCACCCAACAGCTACAGAATATACATTCTTGTCAACAGCACATAGAACATGGACTGACCATATGTTAGGACACAAAACAAGTCTCAAAAATTTTTTTAGAAATTGAAATCATACCAAGTATCCTATTTAACCACAGTGGAAAATATCAATAACATGAGGAACATGCAAAATGATACAAACACATGGAAATTAAACAACATGCTCTTGAACAGCCAGTGAGTGAAGGACAAAATTAAGAATGGAATTTTAAAATTCCTTGAAGTAAATGAAAATAGAGGCACAACATACCGAAACCTATGGGACACAGCAAAAGTAGTACTATGAGGCAAGTGTATAACAATAAATGCCTACAATAAAAAACTAGAAAGATTTCAAATACCCTAACAATGTATCTCAAGGAAACTAGGAAAACAAGAATAAACCAAACCCAAAATTAGTAAAGGAAAGAAATAATAAAGATCAGAGGAGAAATAAATGAAATTGAAATAAAAAATGTATTTAAAAAATCAACAAAATAAAAGTTGGTTTTGTGTAAAGATAAAATTGAGATACCATTAGCTAGACTAAGAAAAAAAGAGAGATGACTCAAACAAATAAAATCAGGCAAGAAAAAGGAGACATGACAATGGATGCCACAGAAATACAAAGAATCATTACAGGATACTACAAACAACTCTACACCAATAAATTAAAAAACCTAGAGGAAATGGATAAATTCCTGGACACATACAACCTATCAAGATTGAACCAAGAAGAAATTTTTTTAAAACCTGAACAGACCAATAACAAGTAATGAGATTGAATCAATAATATAATCTGCCAACAAAGAAAAGTCCAGGACTGAATGGCTTTCATACTGAATTCTACCAAACCTTTAAAGAAAAATGCATACCAATTCTTCTCAAACTATTCCAAAAAATTGAAGTGAGGGTATTCTACCTAACTCATGCTAAGAGGCCAGAATAACCCTGATATCAAAAGCAGACAAGAATACAACAGAAAAAGAAAAGTTCAGGCCAATATCCCTGATAAATATACACACAAAAATCCTCAATACTAGCAAATGAAATCCAACAATACATCAAAAAGATAATATACCATGATCAAGTGGAATTTATCCAATGAATGCAGGAATGGTTCAACATACACAAATCAATAAATGTGATATATCACATCAACTATAAAGGACAAAACCCACATGATAATCTGAATAGATGCAGAAAAAAATTTGATAAAATTCAACATCTCAATTAAAAACTCTCAATAAACTAGGTATAGAAGGAAAGTACCTCAACACAATAAAGGCCATATATGACAAACCCACAGCTAACATCATACAGAAAAGGTGAAAGCTTTGCCTCTGAGAACTAGAAGACAAGGATGCCCACTCTCATCACTCTTACTCAACACAGTACTGGAAGTCTTAGCCATGGTAATCAGACAAGAGAAAGTAATAAATGGCATTAAAATTGGAAAGGAGAAAGTCAAATTGTTTCTGTTTGCAGAAAACATGATCTTATAGAGAGAAAAGCCTAAAGACTACCAAAAAAAAACCTCTCAGAACTGATAAACAAATTTAGTAAAGTTGCAGAATACAAAATCAACATACAAAAATCAGTAAGTGGTGTTTCTATAAATAATGAACTAGTTGAAAAAGAAATCAAGAAGACAATCTCATTTACAATAGCAATCCCCCCGCCAAAATTACCTAGGAATAAATTTAACCAAGGAGGTGAAAGATCTCTAAAAGAAAAACTACAAAACACTGATGAAAGAAATTGAAGAGGATACAGACAAAGGCAAAGTTATTTCATGCTCATGGATTGGAAGAATTAATATTGTTAAAATGACTATACTACCCAAAGCAATCTACAGATTCAATGCAATCTCTATCAAAATACCAATAACATTCTTCACAGCAATAGAAAAAAATCTTAAAAATCTGCATGGAACCACAAAAGACCCTGAAGAGACAAGCGATCCTAAGCAAAAAGAACAAAGCTGGAGGCATCACACTACCAGACTTCAAAATATACCACAAAGCTGTAGTAATGTACTACAATGCTGTTTTTATGATACTGACATAAAAACAAACACACAGACCAATGGAACAGAATAGAGAACCCAGAAATTAATCCATGTATCTAGAGCCAACTGATCTTTTTTTTTTTTTCCGAGGCAGAGTCTCACTCTATAACCCAGCTGGAGTGCAGTGATGCAATCTTGAGTCACTGCAACCTGTGCCTCCCAGGCTCAAGTGAGCCTCCCACCTCAGTCTCCTGAGTAGTTGGGATTACAGGCACACGCCACCACACTCAGATAATTTTTGTAGAGACGGGGTTTCACCATGTTGCCCAGGCTGGCCTCAAACTCCAATCTGCCCACCTCAGCCTCCCAAAATGCTGGGATCACAGATGTGAACCCAGCCAAGCCTACTCATTTTTAACAGAGGTGCCAAGAATACTCACTGGGGGAAGACAGTCTCTTCAATAAATGGTGTTGGGAAACTGAATATGCACATGCATAAGAATGAACCTGGACACCCATCTATCACCCTAAGGAAAAAATCAACTCAAAATGATTCAAAGACCTAAATGTAAAACCCAAAACCATAAAAGTACCAGGCAAAAACAAGGAAAACACTTCAGGATGTTGATCTGGGAAAAGATTTTATGAGTCAGACCTCACAAGCACAGGCAACAAAAGCAAAAAGAAACGAATGAGATTACAACAAACTAAAAAGCTTCTGCACAGCAAAGGAAACAGTCAATAGAGTGAAAAGACAATCTATAGGAGAAAATATTTGCAAACTGTTTATCCAACAGAGGATTAATATGCAAAATATGTAAGGAACTCAAAATATCTCAATGGCAAAAATCATAATAATAATTGGATGGAAAAATGGGCAAATGAGCTAGGCATGGTGGCATGCACCTATAGTCCCAGCTACTCAGGCTGAGGTGGGAGGATTACTTAAGCCTGGATAACATAGTGAGACTCTATTTCCAAAAAAAAAAAAAAAAAAAAAGATACACAAAATATGTGAAAGACAGACAAATGATCTGACCAGACATTTCTCAAAAAATGACACACAAATGCGCCAACAAATATATACAAATTGCTCAGCATTACTAATCGTCAGGGAACTGCAAATCCAAATCACAATGAGGTATCATCTCATTCCACTTAGAATGGCTATCATCAAAAACACAAAATAAATGCTTGTGAGGATGTTGTGAAACAGGAACTCTTATACACAGATGGTGGAAATGTAAACTAGTACAGCCACTATGGAGAGCAGTATGGGGGTTCCCCAAAAAACTATAACTAGAGCTACCATATGATCCAGCAATCCCCCTACTGGGCACTTATCCAAAGGAAAGAAAATCAGTATTTTGAAGAGATATCCACACCCACATGTTTACTGCAGCACTATTCACAGTAGGCAAAATATGGAATCAACCTATCCAACAACAGATGAATGGATAAAGAAAGTGTGGTATACATACACAACGGAATACAATTTAGCCATAAAAAAGAATAAAATCCTGCCATTCACAGCAACATGGATGGAGCTGGAGGACGTTATTATATTAAGTAAAATAAGCCAGGAACAGAAAGCTAAACACTGCATGTTCTTACTCATACGCAGAAGCTAAAAACAAAAGTTGATCTCATAGAAGTAAAAAGTAGAACAGAGCACACCAGAAACTGGGGAGAGTAGGGAGAAGGGGGAGAGCAAGAGATTTGTTAAGGGACACACAATTATAGTTGGACAGGAGGAATAAGTTTGAGTGTTCTATTCACCACTGTAGGATGACTACAGTTAACAATAAAGTCTCCAGTAGCTAGAAGGACGATATAGAATGTTCCCAACACAAAGAAATGAAAAATGTTTGAGATTATGAATGTGCTAATTATCCTGACTGGCTCATTATATATTACATGTATGAAAACATCACTATGTACCCCATAAATATGTATAATTATTATATGTCAATTAAAACAAAATGATAGGCTGGGTGCGGTGGCTCACACCTGTAATCCCAGCACTTTGGGAGGCCAACGCAGGTGGATCACCTGAGGTCAGGAGTTCCAGACCAGCCCGGCCAACATGGTAAAACCCTGTCTCTACTAAAAACACAAAAATTAGCTAGGCATGGTGGCGGGCGCCTGTAATCCCAGCTACTTGGGAGGCTGAGGCAGGAAGAATTGCTTGAACTCAGGAGGCGGATGTTGCAGTGAGCCAAGATTGCGCCACTGCACTCCAACCTGGGCAACAAAGTGAGGCTCCATCTCAAAAACAAAACAAAAACAAACAAAAAACAAAATGATGACAATGATGTTACAATAGCAATAACAACAGTTAACATGCAGTAAGCATTTGCCCTGTACAGACACGGCTCCAGGTGATTTATATATATTCACTCATATCTCCATTATTTATAATTCTTCTAGCCTTGTTCACATCTCCCATATCATCCAGAAACAATTGCTACCCTATTATTTAACCTTTTATATAGATAAGGTGCATATCCACTAGACAGAAGGCAGAAACTGAAAATCACCCTTCGCTGTACACACGCTGTCCCACAATATGGAGTGAACAGCTAATAGCATATCACCTACTGGCAACATATGAACAGAAAGTAGCTGGAGGATTCAATAATTTTTCATTCCAAAAACATTTACTTCGTAGTTATTATATAGTCGGCATTGCTCTCATTAATGGGCATGAAGAAAAAATAGAATATAGACAAATGGACCAAAATCTCCACCCATACAAAGCATAGATTCTTGTTATCGGTGCTGTTTGCATTCTGGTGGGATGAAACAATGTGTAAAATGTGTGCAAACTGTCTAATGTCGTACTTGGAAGATGTTAACTACTATCATAATACCAATTATTGCATTTTTTTACACAGAAGGCACTAAAAAATTTTAAATAAATCTGTATATCACAAAAGCTATATTAATTTCACTTTTAGTTTAGAACTTTAAAGCCTTTGGAAGACTATTTCATGTAGCAAGAGACAAACCCAGGCAAAACTGGAAGAAAATTTTTGATTCCTTAGACTAAGATTTTAAGCACAGAGTTGGTCTCAAGTATACTAATTAGCATGCCAAACAGAAGTATGACTTTCTTCCACTTTACTAAAACGACAGGTGTGTTTCTTTGAAGTCTTTCTCTCTCTCTCTCTCTCTCATTCATTCATTCATCCATTCATTTATTTGAAACAGGGTCTCACTCTGTCACCCAGGCGGGAGTGCAGTGGTACAATCATCTCTCACCACACCCTTGACCTCCAGAGCTCAAGGGATCCTCCCACCTCAGCCTCCTGAGTAGCTGGGACTACAGGTGCGTGCCTCTGCACCTGGCTAATTATTTTTATTATTTGTAGAGATGGGGTCTCGCTATGTTGCCCAAGTTAGTCTTGAACTCCAGGGCTCAAACAAGCCTCCCACCTTGGCCTCCCAAAATGCTGGGATTACAGGCATGAGCCACTGTGCCCAGCTGGAAGCCTTACTTTATGCCATTGGCACCAAATAGCCAAGATGTCAAGATTTTGGATTTCTTCTCTATAATAATTATTCAATTTCACGTACCTTCGAAGAAGGGGGAAGAATGCAATAGGAAAGGGAAGGAAAGAAGAAAATTCACATTCAAAGCCTATCCCAACTCTCATATCATCTTGCAAGAGCCACTTTTCAAATCAGGAATTACACAGGATTTGTCCATGGTTTACTGCAAATGCAAGTGGGTCAGAGGTATGTAAAGATACTTTGAAAGTGCATTAGTAACCAGCTATGACCATCAAAATGAGTATATTGCCCCTGAGGTGTTATTGCTCCTCTGAACTTAATGTTGGAACCAGTCACTGGTAGCTCCTGTGAGCCCTAGTGCATGCTTTTAAAAAGCTGTTATTCAAGGGGAAAAAATGTAAAAATATTTTTTTCACAATCTCAAAAATGACACATTAGAACCACAGTCATATATATATATATATATATATATATATATATATATATATATATAGACACCTGTTAGAAAATAAACACCTGTTAGAAAATAAAAGTGACAATATGGGCACAATTTAATACTAATATCAAACATACATCACCACAGACATATATAGAAAGGATTTCCCAGGGTTATCTGATTCCCAAGGCTGAACTGTCTAACTCCACTTCTCTCTGGTTTGTTTGGTGTTTCTACTTTCCTGATGCCCCAAACCTATGAGGAAATCCAGCAATTTCACTCACTGACCTTCACTCAGAAAAGCAGGTAAGATCATGAGATCATAGGTATCCCTGGATGTACACCCGATTCTCTTTTCATTTGGTTTTATGTTCAATTTAACATTTGGGGTGGTGCCTATTATTACTGTTCTAGGTACTAGGAAAATACGAAAAATAATATGAAAACATAATTCTTGCTTTCAAGGAGTTTATAATCAAATTGAAATGAGAAACTCACCAACATGAAGCACACTAGTTAAAATAAGAGAGCATCTAGCTTTGTATCCCTCCTGGGCAATTCCAAAAACCTCTTCAGCTCTGGTTTTCTCACCCATAAAACAAGCAAACTAAGTGGGCCAATGGTTTTCAACCTTCTTTCTGGCCCAACACTTGAGGATATGATACCCTTGTTATTAGTGACATTGGGGAGTAAGTGGGGAAGACTCATCTTGGTGGGAGAAAGCAGATATTCTTTTTAATCCTGCAAAAGATGATTTCCTATTGTTGCAAATTGTGAATTAGATTTTTTCAATCTCCTCTCAAATGTTGTCTCCTCAGAGAGGTTTCCCTGACTCCTCCATCTAAAATAACATCTGTCTCTGTCACTCCTTCACCCCACTCCTCCTTATCTTGCTTAATTTTTCTTTATAGCACTGAAGTCACCAGCCATTATGCATTTGTTTGTTTTCTGTCTCCCACGCTAGACTATAAGCTCCACAAGGGCAGGGACTAGGTCTTATCACTCCATCCTTTATCACATTATGGCTGGCATAATGGACACTGAAAGAAAAACATGGAATTAATTATTTTTTCAGCAAAACCCATAAATAAATGAATGAAATCAATAAGGAGAGTTGTCAGGAAATTACAGTATCACACATTGGTGCTATAATATGTTTTGTGATTTCAAAGGCATTTCACAAACATTATCTCATGTGAATCGCACACAGCCCTGTGTGTAAGTCAGCACAGGTATTACTGACAAGAAAACTAAGGCAGAGACATCCAGTGGCTTCCTCAGGGCCACCCACCTAGTGGCAGAGCTAAGGGTTCAGCCCACATCTTGTGATTCTTAACCCAAGGCATTTCCTTTCTACCACTTCAGAGGTTTCATAAAGGTAAGGAGGTTGAGCACAGTAGTTCACACCTGTAATCCCAGCACTTTGGAAGGCCAAGGCAGGAGGACTGTTTGAGCCCAAGAGTTCAAGACCAGCCTGGGCAACAAAGCAAGACCCCTATTGTAAAAAAAAAAAAAAAAAAAAAAAGGCAAAGAGACTTAAGGCAGCCTTGAAGAATGCGTGAGGTTTAGTGAAGAAAGGAAGAGATGGTAAGGCATTCCAAGAAAAGGCAAAAACACGAATGAGTCTCCAGGACCAGGAATGTGTACCACATAAACATGTGTGATGTAAGAGTGGAGAGTGGGCAAAATTTGGGGGGGCTAGATTTAGAATTAATTCCGAGGTAGGTAGCTACAGTGACCCTCCATTTGTTCTAATAACTTATCCTCCTATTATCCCAGGATCTCATAATTTTAACTTTCTACTAGTTCTTCTCCATCCTATAAATCCTCAAGCAATGACTTTCTCTCCTATTTGCAGCCAAACTTCCATGAAGAATAACCTATGCTCACCAACTCCACTTCCTGACCCCCGTTCACTCCTCAACCCACTGCAAGCCAACTTCTACCCCTGCACGACCAAAATCTTCTCACTCACAGCCTCCTCACTGCCAAACACTCTTCCCAGGTCTTACCAGACCCCTCCTCCAGGCCTTACCAGACCCCTCTTCCAGGCCTCATGTGTCACAGCTAAGCTTATTATCCCCCTTTCCATGAATCCTCTCCTCTCTTGGCTTCCTCCACACCACTCTCTCCCACTGACAGCTCCTTCTCTATAATTTGCAGGTACCTCTTCCCCCATCTGCCTCTGAAATGTGGGTTCCTTGGGAATTCGACTTAGATCTGCTCCTCTCACGGTATTGTGTTTCTCTGGGCAAGTCTATCTGTGCTAGGGGCTTCAGGCTGTAGGAACAGATGCTAGCAGCCAGGCGTGGTGGCTCATGCCTGTAATCCCAGCACTTTGGGAGGCCGAGGCGGGTAGATCACGAGGTTAGGAGTTCAAGACCAGCCTGGCCAACATGGTGAAACCCCGTCTCTACTAAAAATACAAAAAATTAGCTGGGCGTAGTGGTGGGCGCCTGCAATCCCAGCTACTCGGGAGGCTGAGGCAGGAGAATCGCCTGAACCCGGAAGGCAGAGGTTACAGTGGAGCCGAGATCGTGCCACTGCACTCCAGCCTGGGCGGCAGAGCGAGACTCCGTCTCAAAAAAAAAAAAAAAAGAATAAATGCTAGCAATGCTTAAAGACATTCATTCTATGCCCAGCACATATGAAATCAGACACATTCCCTTGAGTCATTATGGTGGTGAATTCTGAACTAGGGGTGGGGAGGGACGTGCTCTCCTTCCTAGCAGGACAATACCAGAATCTGGAGGGTTTGGGGGGAGTAGCACACAAATAGTTAAAAAGAAACCCCACATATAAAAACATTCAGGCAAAGCACGTCCTCCCACCCCTTACCTGATTGAAAATCACGGTGCTAAACAGACTTACAAATTTGTCTCTACCCATAATATCTCCCTACAGGTTCTTTATCTGCATTTGTGTCTTTTCATTTAAAAATCTCCAACTGGGTATTCCTCCCCAAACTCAACATATCCAAAATCAAATTCATGACTCTCACCCCATAAGCTGCTTCTTCTCGTACGCTCTCTATTTTGGTGAGCAGCATCACTGTATTCCCAAGTCATCCAAGCCATTTTTTTTTTTTTGGTCTCCCTTCTAACCACATCTCATCAACAAACAAGGCCTCCCTCAGAGATGGTTCTCACATCCAAGCCCTGACTGCCCTCCCCATTGGTACTGCCTTGGCTCAGACACCCATCACCTCTCATGTACAACATGGTTACAGCCTTCTGATCGGTCTCCTTGTCCCCAGTTACCCTCATTCAAATCATCCTACACTCTGCTGCAAGAATTATTGTTCTTAAAACAGAGATCTCACCCTATCACTTCCCTATTCAAAAACTTCCCTGACTCCCCAGAAGCTACAACATGGCTACGATCTCTCTACGACATCATCTCCTCAACATCCCCGCTTCCACACCCTACTTCGGCCCTCCAGACTGCTCCCCACCGCTCAGACAAAGGCAAAACTTTCACACTCTCATGTTTTTGCATGAGTCTGGAGTGTCCCCACCCCCACCCCCTTTGTCCATCTGGCAAAATTCTATTCATTCCCCTAAGGTTCAACTCAAATGTCAATTCTGCTGCTTAGGCTTTCCTGATCCCTAGCCCCATCCCCCTTCCCTTGAATCAATCACTCGCTGGTATTCCCATGGTGCTATGTTCACAACCTCTAACGTGGCATTTATCAAGCGGGATTGTAGTTAGTTATTTACTCATCTGTCTCCCTTCCTAAATTATGAGCTCTGTGAGGGAAGAGGCCACATGACAGTTATGTTTATATCCCCAGGACCAAAACACAGAGCCTCGGAATATGCCAGAGCATAAGCATTCAGTAAATGTTTATGAACCAGAACTAGGAAAACCATTGAGGTTTTTAAGCTCTCTTTCTTAAAAACAAAATGAGAGAAGCATTTAACATTTTTATCTTGAAATGTTTTTTAAAAATCAAGCAAAGCAAAACTTAATCAACTGCTACCTGCCTTCAAGACTTCAGCAGCAAAGACTGATACTGTTTGAGCAGATGGAGAGAATTACTTGAAAGGGAATTTGGTCAGTAAAACACCTTGTAGCTCAGCCTCACTTTTGGAAATGACAAGTAAGAGGCATTTTTCCTCTGCAAAGGAAATTAAAGAAAGGAAATGCTAAATACTATGCTTCTGAGCTTAGAACAGACTTGAATTTTTTTAATAAATGATTTCTATCCATATTATTTCAAGATGAAACTTTTCAAATAAATGAAACTTATCAAATAAATGCCACATCAGTAAATACGTTAGATATCTTGTCTTATCAAGATTTAACCAAAAAGTTTCACAATCACTTCTAAAGACATAAAATGATTTCATTTTCATCCCCCAAAGAAAATGATGTACATTATTTAAATTATGATAATATCGGGGGGGTGCACAGACAATCCATGTCTTTCTACAGACAAATGAAGTTGAAGCTTGTTAGAGTTCATAGGAAGGGCGTTCTTATCAACTGAATACAGAATTGAAATAGCAGTGAATTCCAAGAAGTAGCTTTCTTTAGCCTTTCTTAGCGTTTCAAAAAGATGTCAAAGTGACTATATAAAATGTTTGTTTTGTCTGGAAAAAATATCAGTGTTTGGGCATTCACAGACCACAGGGAGGTTTGCAGTTAGGATGAGGGAAGATATTTCTGGGGTGTGAGTGAGCTGAGTCTGCAAAGCTTCGTAACTAGACTTGCCTATAGATTTGAAAACACTCCTATGATATAAAAGGGTAATTCCTTTTTCAGAACTTTTTTTGGTAGTTCCTTTCTGTGAATATAAAGATGCACAGAGGCTCAAATTTCAATTAGAAATAGATTCTTTGACAGAAATTCTTTAGAGACGAAGTCTGGCAACAATACGCAGACTGGATTACACGGAAGAGAGGCTGCAGTCAGAGAGGCAGGCCAAAAGGCCAGTGTGGTAATTTAGGTGGGAGGTAACAGGAGTCTGGACAAGGGAAGTGACAAGAGGGAACAGAGAGAAAGGGACAATTAACATAGTGGCTCAAGGGAAATTCCACAAGTGTTGATGAATAGACTGGATATAGGGAATAAAGATTGCCAAACCTATGTGACTTGAAGAAATTGACACGACTTCAGGAAAAGGAAATTTTTTCATTACCTTTCAATTTTCAACACAGCACTTAATAACAATCCCAGAGTTAAACTGGTCCTTCAAGAGATCATGATTATGTAGGAATATCTGTAGCCATATTTACTAAACTGTTAACATCTTTCAGTCCAATACTCTGTCCTACTCTTTTCTGTATCCCATCCACCCTTCCATCCATCCATCCATCTGACAAACACTGAATATCTTCTATGTATCAGGCACTAATCTAGTGACTTGTAAGTGAACAAGAGAGACATAAATACCTGACCTCATGGAGCTAATACTCAAGGGACAATAAATGCCTAACATTGTGCCGACTGCAAAGTTGATACTCAAAATATTTTTTGTTCAAATTGAATAATCTCCATTGAGTATTAGTCCAGAACAAATAAGAATCAGAACAAGGAAAATATCTTCCTTACATAATATCCAAGGAAATTTCACTATAGCACCTTTAAAATCTATTACAATCAAATATTGTTCTAATTTAAAAGCAATCCTATTTTTTCCTATTCATTGCTTGCCAAATTTACCAATAAAAAGTTTTAACACTAAATGAAAACCTTGATGAAACAGTTCACAGAAGAATAGAAATACAGGGTAGAAAAGGCCATCATTTTTTTGGGTCTCCAACTCAAATTTCAAAACCCCAGGGCACTGCTCCTGAGAGTCACACAGGCCATCTTAAGCAAAAAACAAAACCAAAAGGAACACTTCTGTACCTTAAATGTTTGCAAATCATGGTACCTTAAAAGTAGAAGAGGGGCAAAAAGGGGTGATACACAAAAAACAAGAATTCCAAGTAAAAGATGAATGAGCTGCTCTACCATATTTATGGTGACTGAGAGCCATCTGCTGGTTACAGTTTAGTTACAACAGTCCAGGAGGGCCAACTATTGCAGGCAGCTTCTCTATTACATGATGCATGCAACATGCTTAGAAACACAATGCACTGGTTCTCACTCCTGTGAGGAAGCTTAAAAAAGTTTCCTATCGGCCGGGCACGGTGGCTCACGCCTATAATCCCAGCACTTTGGGAGGCTGAGGCAGGTGGATCACGAGGTCAGGAGATAGAGACCATCCAGGCTAACACGGTGAAACTCCGTCTCTACTAAAAATCCAAAAAAAAAAAAAAAAAAAAAATTATCTGGGCATGTGGCGGGTGCCTGTAGTCCCAGCTACTCAGGAGGCTGAGGCAGGAGAATGGCGTGAACCCAGGAGGCGGAGCTTGCAGTGAGCCGAGATCGCGCCACTGCACTCCAGCCTGGGCGAAAGAGCGAGACTCCATCTCAAAAAAAAAAAGTTGATATCATACAAGCAGTGAGTAGGATAGTGGTTACCAGAGGCTGGGAAGGGCAAGAGGTTGGGGGAAGGAAAGGTTGGTTAAGGGAGACAGGGAACAGCTGGATGGCAGAAGTGAGTTCTGGTGTTCTGTGGCATACTAAGGTGAATACAGCAAATGATAATTTACAGTTTTTTGAATAGCTAGAAGAGAGGATTATGAATGTTATCAACACAAAGAAATGATACAGGTTTGAGGTTATGGGTATGCTAATTACCCTGATTTGATCATTACACATTATATACATGTATCAAAATATCACACTGTAAGCCAGGCTCGGTGGCTCTCACCTGTAATCCCAGCACTTTGGGAGGCCGAGGCAGGTGGATCACAAGGTCAAGAGATCGAGACCATCCTGGCTAACACAGTGAAACCCCATCTCTACTAAAAATACAAAAAATTAGCCAGGCATGGTGGCATGTGCCTGTAGTCCCAGCTACTTGGGAGGCTGAGGCAGGAGAATCACTCGAACCCAGGAGGCAGAGGTTGCAGTGAGCCGAGATTGCACCACTGCACTCCAGCCTGGGCAACAGAGCGAGACTCCATCTCAAAAAAAAAAAAAAAAATCACACTGTACCCCATAAATATGTACACTTATATGTCAATTAAATATATATGTACATATATATATACACACACACACATATATATATTTAAAGAGAAACAAATGCGCAAAAGTCAACAGAACTTATATAATATGAGGGAGTTGGTGTTCCTAGAGCCATGCCTTTTTGACACCATCTGCAATAACAACTCTCCATCTTCTTCCAGTTGGTTCTTCACAACCAAACACAGTTATGATAAATCCGTTGAGTGTCCAGTCAAGATGAGCAATCTACATTTGCTTTAGGCATTCGGCATACCTAATGATTTCCATCTTTGTCTCAACATTACTGTTTTCACTTTACTGTACTTGTTTCCATTCTCACTCATTTTATAAAGTAAAGGTAAAATGCAATAAAATATTCAACCAATTGTGCAAATCAATACTGTTCTATGAACAAAGATGTGAGTTCAGTGAAACAAAATTATCAGCTGGCAAGCAGTGCCACCATCAATAATATTAATAGAAATGTGTGTTTGGCAGCTGATATACAAAAATCCAAATTAGGCATTAAAAGGCCATTTAAGAGTGTCAATGAATAATGCTTATGCATTCAAGATGCACAAAAGCCAAGGACCACCTACATCGTCCATTTTTCACCTCAGTGACCTTACTGTTTATTATACCAATTCATCTAACTCATGTCTAAAGACAACAAATTTTGAGATGGACACCCACATTTTCAATTCTGGCATCTTTTCCCTCTGGAATGTGTAAGCTCCCTCGGGTAACTTTTATGCAACCAGTTGGGTGCCAATGTGCGGACTGATATGGAAATTACTGTTCTAAAAAGACAGGATTCAAGAAGATACACAAGGAGGAAAAACAACACATGATGTACAAATTTCTACCCACTTGCGGTATCAATTTCTGTCTCAGTCCTTTCAGGCTGCTATAACCAAATACCTCAGACTGGGCAATTTATAAACAACAGAAATTTACTGCTCACAGTTCTGGAGGCCAGGAAGTCCAAGAGCATGGCATAAGCAGATACGGTGTCTGGTGAGGACTTTTTCTCTGCTCCATGGGTGGTGCCTTCTACATGTTCTCATATGTCCAAAGGGGCAAGGAAGCTCCCTTCAATCTTTTTTTTATAAGGGCACTAATCCCATTCTTGAGGGCAGAGTCCTCATGACTTACTTCCCCGAAGGTCCCACCTCTTAATACTATCACACTGGAGATTAGGTTCTAACATATGAATCTTGGGAGGACACTACTATTCAGACCATGGCAAAGGGTGTCAATGAATAATGCATACCATTCAAGACATACAAAAGTCAAGGACTGCCTACATAGCCATCACTTCCACCTCAATAACCTTGATTTGCTATTATTACACCAATTCATCTACTTCATATCTAAGAAAGCAAATTATCAAGATGGACACCTATTTTGATTTGTTTTGTTTTGTTTTGTTTTTGTTTGTTTGAGATGGGGTCTCACTCTGTTTTTTTTTTTTGAGATGGGGTGTCACTCTGTCACCCAGGCTGGAGTGCAGTGGCACAATCTTGACTTACTGCAACCTCGGCCTCCTGGGCTCAAGCAATTCTCCCACCTCAGCCTCCCTAGTAGCTAGGACTACAGGCATGCACCACCATGTCTGGCTAATTTTTTGTATTTTGGGTAGAGATGGGGTTTCACCATGTTGCCCAAGCTGGTTTCGAACTCCTGACCTCAAGTGATCCACCCACCTTGACCTCCCAAAGCACTGGGATTACAGGCGTGAGCCACTGCGCCTGGCCAACACCCACGCTTTTAACTATGTCATCCTTTCCCTCTGTGAGCAGGGCCCAGGAATGTATAAGCTCCCTCAGGTGACTTTTATGCAATCAGCTGGGCACCAATGTGCAGACTGGTATAGAAACTACCACCCTTGAAAAAGCAGGATTCAAGAAAGTACGCAAGACAGAAAACACATGGTATAAATACATGGTCTTCTCAGCCTCCCCCCACTGCCCACATTGATTTCTCCATTTTCTCTTTTCTTTTTTTTTTTTTGAGACGGAGTCTCACTCCGTTGCCCAGGCTGGAGTGCAATGGCATGATCTCGGCTCACTGCAAGCTCCACCTCCTGGGTTCACACCATTCTCCTGCCTCAGCCTCCTGAGTAGCTGGGACTACAGGCGCCCGCCACCACACCCAGCTAATTTTTTGTATTTTTAGTAGAGACGGGGTTTCACCGTGTTAGCCAGGATGGTCTCGATCTCCTGACCTCATGATCTACCCGCCTCAGCCTCCCAAAGTGCTGGGATTACAAGCGTGAGCCACCGTGCCCGGCCCAGATTTCTCCATTTTCTAATCTCCCAGATCATTTATGGCTCATATCACACAAAGTGGCATTTCACTATACACTATCATGTATGGTCCAGAGTTGTTTTGTGCAAGATAGAAAGACATCCCCACATGGCCTGCTATCTCTGTACTCCCTTCTGCTAAGACGGTGAGTGCTATCGTTCATTAATGTCTATAGAACACTTTCCAGTTTACAAAGAGCCTCCACATAGATTTATCTCATTTGAACTTCACAACAGTTTGAGGAATCATGGTTACCTTCATTTTCCTGACAATGATGTGTAGTTAAAACTCAAACCCTGGTTGTCTAATACCAAATCCTTTGCTCCTTCCACAGAATGACACAAGGCAAACTTAGCAATATGCCACACTTGAACACCTGGTGGAATACTGTCCCTACGAACAGGGTAATACTGTCCCTGCAAGTGTGAAAGACGAAGTATTCAAAGCCAGTGGGAAAGGAATACATGAGGGCCCCTGAAAGGGAATCATGGTAAGATTTCAAAAGTACGAGAGACAAAGCCCAAGGGACAAAACCCAGGGCAAAGGATGAGAGGACCTGGGTTCTAGTTCTCTCTCTTCCATTGATTCACCATGGGCACAACGACTTCTCTAAGAATCAGTCTCCTCATTTGTAAACCAAAAAAGTAATCGCTTGAGTTATAACACCGTATCAGAAAGAAAAAAGTCAAACACACATGGGAGCGTTGAGGCCTAAGACCGCCCCCACCCGCCACTCCACATGCATCCTACATGCACGTCCTGGAACCAACACTCATGTATGCTTAGGGGTGACTGTAATATATCAAAAATTGCTCGGTAAACAGAGAAGAGAAAGAGGGAGAAATAACTTTTATTTTCAACAAACAAGAACAGGCTTTTTAATTTCTTAAAAATTTTTACTTAAAGAAAACACAAGTTGGAAACATTTTTTAAAATTAACAGGCTCACGCCTGTAATCCCAGCACTTTGGGGGGCCGATATGGGCTGATCAAGAGGTCAGGAAATCAAGAACAGCCTGGCCAACATGGTGAAACCCTGTCTCTACTAAAAATACAAAAATTAGCCAGGTGTGGTGGTGCGTGCCTGTAATCCCAGCTACTCGGGAGGCTGAGGCAGGAGAATCGCTGGGAGGTGGAGGTTGCGGTGAGCTGACATCACGCCATTGTACTCTGCCCTGGGCAACAAGAGCAAAACTCCATCTCAAAAAAACAAAAACAAAAAAAAAGTAACGTAATGAGGCCAAGCATAGTTCACACATCTGTAATCCCAGCATTTTGGGAGGCCGAGGCGGGTGGATCATGAGGTCAGGAGATCGAGACCATCCTGGCTAACAAGGTGAAACCCCGTCTCTACTAAAAATACAAAAAATTAGCCGGGCGCGGTGGCGGGCGCCTGTAGTCCCAGCTACTCGGGAGGCTGAGGCAGGAGAATGGCGTGAACCCGGGAAGCGGAGCTTGCAGTGAGCCGAGATTGCGCCACTGCAGTCCACAGTCCGGCCTGGGCGACAGAGCGAGACTCCGTCTCAAAAAAAAAAAAAAAAAAGAGGCTGAGGCAGGAGGATTGCTTGAGCCCAGGAGTTAGAATCCAGCCTGGGCAACAGAGAGAGACCCTGTCTCTACAAAATAAAAATATATTAGCCAGGCATGGTGGCATGTGCCTGTGGTCCCAGCTACTTGAGAGGCTGAGTTGTGAGGATCACTTGAGCCCAGGAGTTGCAGGCTGCAGTGAGCTGTGATCTCACCACTGCACTCCAGCCTGGGTGACAGAGCGAGACCCTGTCTCAAAAAAATTAAAATTAAAATTAACATAATGAACTAAAATACAGCGTGATTAGGTAATTCTACTTTCTTCTTCCCGTTTATTCAGAAACTGGAGTTTTCCTTCTTTTTCAATTCTCAAATGATTTTTTTAAAGACTTAAAATTAATACATGCAGGGGCAAAGAATGTTTTTATTTTCCATACCAAAAGTCACAACTATACCAGTAGTTAAGGGCTGCAATTCAAAAGAAGATACCATTTTTTACCCATCAGAGCAACAAAACAAAATCCATCAAGTTCTGTAACGCCCACTGACAGCTAAGGTTTAAGGAAAGGGGCCCTCACACAGATTGCTGAAGGGAATGTAAATGCCACAACTTTTAAGAAAAAGACATGGTGGTACCTATTACATCTTTAACACTCATACCTTTTGTCCCAGTAACCCCACTTTGAGGACTCTATTGCTAAAGAAATAGAAGCCATGGTCTTTAAGAATATTTACTGCAGCACTCGTTGTAATGGCAAAAAACTAAACAACCCAACGTCCATCAAATGGGGAGTGGCTGGAAAAATGCCTGCATATTTATATTGTGGAATACAACTGACGAATTTGTCAGACACATCAACTTGGAGGAATGTCCAAATTTAAGTGAAGAAAAGTAAAATTACAGAGGAAAATGTATAGTACAGTTCTGTTTTCTTTAAAAATAGGAAAGGAAAACTTTTTTTAGGTATGTATGTTTGTAAATTTATAGTTGTATAAGCATAGATAAATGTGGGGAAGGGAAACTCCAAACAGCCAATCCTGGTTACTTGAGGAGAAAGGCACTGGAGGGGCAGAAAGGGAGAGAGAGTATGAACTTTTGAGTTACACATTGGTATGTTTTGACTTTTTTGACACGGACTCTCGCTCTGTCGCCAGGCTGGAGTGCAGTGGCGCAATCTTGGCTCACAGCAACCTCCGCCTCCCGAGTTCAAGCGATTCTCCGGCCTTAGCCTCCTGAGTAGCTGGGATTACAGGCGCGTGCCACCATGCCCGGCTAATTTTTGTATTTTTAGTAGAGATGTATTTAGTAGAGAGTAGAGACCATGTTGTCCAGGCTGGTCTCGATCTCCTGACCTCGTGATCCGCCTGCCTCAACCTCCCAAAGTGCTGGGATTACAGGCGTGAGCCACTGCGCCTGGCTTTTTTGACTTGTTATAATGTGCATGTATCATGTGGATTGCCTATTTTAAACCCAATTACAGGGTCATTTCCCCATGATGGAAGCAGGGAGGGAATACGGAAAGGGAAGAAAATAGGAAAACAAAGATCTACAAAATAAATGACAACTTAAGTAGAAACTATTAGAAAGAGGTATTAAAAGCATCCCTCTTCGTTAAAAAAAAAATTAAGAATAGGAGATAAAAACTAAAATCAAGAAATGCCAAAATCATGCATATTTTTCCAGAGGGAAAGAGAAATACAAGAGAAAAATATGAAAGAAAAAGGCAAGAAAAGAAGGCGAAAGAGAGAGAAAGAAACAAGAATAAATGAAGTGGGGATCGGGCAGAACCTACAGAGTCATTACGGGGGAAATATAAAAATGACAAACTGGCTTACAGGGACATGGAGGGAAGAGGGAAACCGTTACAGAAAGAACTGGAGGGTGATATAATTCCTTTCCTAAAGTTAAGCAGTATTAATACCAGCAATCTTAACATTCTGTCTTAACTTTATAGGGAGAAAAACCCTAACTTTTCAAAATCTAGCAACTGGGATGGGCTAAGTTTGCCCTTCTGTTGACTTACATCTCCATCTTGTGGTCTGTTCAGGACATAGCTCTTAGAGAGAGAGAGAGAGAGAGAGAGAGTGTGTGGGTGCGCACACGCATGTGTGTGTATCTGTATGCATATGCATGCAAATATATGCAAATATGTATGTATATAAATATAACCATATCTACTCACATGTGTAATACATGTACATGTAGTATATAAATGCACATATTTGCACTTATTCTTTAATTCAAGTAGAACTTACAAACAGAAAAATCCCCAGTGTACAGCTCAAAGATGATTCACAAAGTGAATACCCACAGTTAACCACTACCCACAGCAAGAAAAAGAGTATTACCAGAACCCCAGGAGCCCTGTCATATACCCTTCTAGTCACTACTTCCCCCAAAGGGAACCGCTTTCGTGATTTATAACACTGTAAGTCTCACCTTTATAGGAGTGGCATCATATAGCATGAACTGTGTAAACTCTTCTGTCTGACATGATGTCTGAGATCCATCCATAGTGTGGTGTACAGTTGTAGATTGTTAATTCTCATTTGCTGTGTGACATCATTGTATGAATATGCCATCATGTATTTATTCATTATACTATAGATGTTCATTGGATTATTTCCAGGTGAGACTACTAAGAAAAGCACTGTAAACAGAGACGCCTGTAGTCTCAACTACTCTGGAGACTGAGGTGGGAGAATCGCGTGAGCCCAGGACCTTGAGGTTACAGTGTACTATGATTCCATCAGTGAATAGCCACTCTACTCCAGCCTGGGCAACGTAGCAAGACCCTGTCTCTAAAAAACAAAACAAAACAAAAAATAGCACTGCTAGGCCGGGCGCAGTGGCTCACGCCTGTAATCCCAGCACTTTGGGAGGCTAAGGCGGGCGGTTCATGAGGTCAGGAGATCGAGACCATCCTGGCTAACACAGTGAAACCCCGTTTCTACTAAAAAAATACAAAAAAAATTAGCCAGGTGCAGTGACGGGCGCCTGTAGTCCCAGCAACTCGGGAGGCTGAGGCAGGAGAATGGTGGGAACCCGGGAGGTGGGGCTTGCAGTGAGCCGAGATCGCGCCACTGCACCCCAGCCTGGGAGACAGAGTGAGACTCCGTCTCAAAAAAAAAAAAAAAAAACAGCACTGCTATAAACATTCTTGTACGTGCCTTTTGTATAGTTCCATTTCAGCAAATACAGTTTTCCATTTCAGCAAATATGGTTTTCCAAAGAGATTGTACAATTTACAGTCCCAGCAGTAGTATATGAGAACTATAGCTGCTCCACATCCTAGCAACACTTGACATGTCTGTCATTTTAATTTTAGCCATTCTTGTAGTATAATGACATTGTGACTTGACTTTGCATTTACTTGATGACTAGTGAAGTTGAACACCTTTTCTTACATTCATCAACCATTGAATATCCTCTTGTGAAATTCAAGTCTTTTGCCTATGTTTTTCTAACAGGTTGCTTGCCTTTTTCTTGACTTATAGGGATTCTTCATATATCCAAGATACATTTCCTATGTCAAATATTAATATATGCCCTGCAAATACAGATTTTCATTCTGTGACTTGTCTTTCAATCATTGTGGTATCTTTTGATAAAAAGAATTTTTTGTTTTAATGAAATCCAACTTATCACTTGTTTCCTTTATGGTTAGTATGTTTTGTGGCCTGTTTAAGAAATCTTTGGCTATCCCAAGATCATAAAAATGTTCTCCTGTTTTCTTCTAAAAGCTCTCTGGTTCAACCCTTCACATTTAGATCTATAATCCTTTTGGAATTATTTCTTATGTAGGGTGATAGCAGAGGCCAAGATTCATTTTTTTCCATGTGGATATCCAGTTGACATAATGCCATTTATTGAAAAGATTACCTCTGTCATAAATCAGGTGACAATATATGTGTTAGACTGCTTCTGAACCCTCTCTTTTGTTCCACGGGTTTATCTGCCTATCCTTGTGCTAACACCACACTACAGCTTTGTGGTGAGTCTGGATAACTGGTCATGTGAGTCCTCTGGCCTTTTTGTTCTTAAAAATTGTCTCAGCTTTTCTTATCTCTTTGCATTAACCATATAAACAGTGGCTGTAATCAGCTTCTCAAGTGGCAAAACGGAAACAAAAATCTGGCTGGGGACTGTAAGTGGGTTTGCTCTAAATCTATAAATCAATCTTGAGGGAACTGATGACTTTACAATATTGAGTCTCCCAATCTCTGAACAAGGCACAGAGACTGAAGAGATCTGAGCATGGTAAGACCCCACCCCGACTTACTCAAAGTTTCACTTTCCAGAGTTTCAGTTACCCACACTCCGAAAATATTATAGACAATAAGATATTTTGAGAGAGAGAGAGAGAGACCACATTCTCATAACTTCCATTACAGTATTAAACTTTACCATGGGTATATATTCACAAGTAAAAATATAGCATATACAGGGCTCAGTACTACCCAAGCTTTCAGGAATCCACTGAGGGTCTTAGAATGTGTCCTCTGCCCTTAAGCAGGGGACTACTCTTTATTTATCTCTTCAGCTTTACTTAATTTCCCTAAATAATGTTTTATAGTTTTCAGTGTAGAAGTCTCATACATCTTTCATTTTACTTATTTCTACAGATTTCATGTTTTTTTTTTTAAAGTACTATGACAGCAGCCTTAAAATTTTTTCATTTGATTTTTCTTTGTTGTCTAGCTTTTAAAACCTTCTGAGGAGAGAAACTACCAGGTTGCTACTGCTAACCACGTGTGGACAGGCTGTGCTTCATTTTCTTTCACATGGTAATGGCTGGATACCTTTCTTGACTTGATCAATGACATGGAGTTGCAATGACCATTTGTTCAGATCTCAAGGTCTCTGGTTTTCTTTGCTCCATCAGTCATCCAAAGAGATAATCTTTCTTTACATTTAGTCTCTATTTGGAAGTCAGGCTGTTAATAGAGCTTCCTTTCCTATCCCATGGTGAGGGAAAAAAAAAAAAATCCGGACTAAGTAGCTACAGAGATCTCTTCTGGCGATAATCAGTCTTGTGAGAACATACATAACCTAAAAACTTCGAATAGCTACTCTGTCAAGTTCGAAGGTAGTTTCAAGATACTTAAGAGTATTACTTTAAGCCTTCTACTTCGTCATCTCCAAGATACACTGTTAAGTAAAAAAGATGACGTGCAGTAAAGAATGCATATTATATTATAATTCCTGTTTTTTTAAAAAACACAAACAAGTTGGAATAGAGACTGGGGATATGGGCCCGTGCATGTATCCTTGGATACGTGTAGAATCCTTCTGGAAGGGCACACACACAGAAAACTGTTAAAAGTGGCTGCTTCTGGGGAAGAAAATGGGAAACTGTAGGTGAGAAGTAGAAAGAGCCTGAATTTTCATTGATTACAATTTTGTACAGTTTAACAATGTAACAAATTACTTTAAAAATAAATTTATATTTAAAAAACATTCTTCAAAAACAAATATTCATTCCCATAAACCACTGGAATGGTCAACATTTTGACCTAACACTATCAACCAAACCGACTCTTCCACCAAGAAGAGTCCCAAAAAATACCTCATCATATGACATATCTAGTTTCTCTCTCCAAGAAAAACATGGTCACTGTACACATTATATGGCTGGTATCAGACCATTAGTTAAGCGTATTACCCTAAACATTCTGCTTCATCGTCTTCAATATATACTGTGAAGCAAAAAAAAGATGATGCAGCATAAAGACTGGAAAAAAATGTGCTAAGGCAACATATATTCCAAATTTTTTTTATCAGTTCCTACTTCAAATACTCCCTTTGTCATTCTATCAGTCCTTGCACCAAATTATCTATTAACATTTCACCAGAATGTGTAGAAAAAGTCAGAAGCTACTACTTCTCAAAATAGAATTAAACAAGAATTAACAAAATATATACAAGATTATCTGTCTGCAGAAGAAACCAGCTCTATGAAACTGTATCAATGTGTCACGTTAAAATTGCTTGCAGGCTGGTCACGATGGCTCACGCCTTGTAATGCCACGGCTTTCGGTGGCCGAGGCAGGTGGATCACCGGAGTTCAGGAGTTCAAGACCAGCCTGGCCAACATGGTCAAACCCCGTCTCTAATAAAAATACAAAAATGAGCTGGGCAGGGTGATATGTGCCTGTAGTCCCAGCTACTTGGGAGCTGAGGCAGGAGAATCACTGGAACCTCGGAGGCAGAGGCTGCAGTGAGCCAAGATCGTGCCACTGCTCCAGCCTGGGTGACAGAGTGAGACTCCATCTCGAAACAAAACAAAACAAAAAAACCGCTTGCACTTCAAAAGTACTTCTCCTAAGCCTCTTCAGGAAGACAAGTGATAGGTGTAAACATCCCAGCTTCTTTAAAAAGTGAATTGAAGACTTAAAGTAATGACTAAGGTTCACTTGAGCCTAAATAAAACAACCCAAAAGGCCAGCGAGTGACTAACTCTCTGGGATTTCAATAAAAGGAGAAGTGACAAGAAAGAAGGTTCTTAATGAGGTCAAAGAATTGAACCTTGAGTCTCTGGTTCTTCAAGAAACTTCAAGAACAGCGTTGCTATTGCTTAGGGAGTTGCAGAGAAGGGTTGATACAGACACTACAACTTGCCTACCCAACATCAGTATGTCTCATCTTCCTTGTTATCAGAACCTCAATTTTGTTCAGGGCTCCACTGCTCAGAGACCATAACCTCATCCTCATTTTCAGCTCAAGAATATCTCCCTCCTGAACTAACCTAGTCAACCACAGCAACCCCATTCTCCCATCGTTTTTGGTATAACATGATCATGTGATACAATAGTCTATTTCTATTTTGAGCCAGAGTCAATTAGGCAGCTTCCAGGAAGCATTTCATTGCTCTTTAAAAAGAAATAACTGAAAAATACAAAAAAAGCCAAGATAAAAAAATGCTAAAAGCTATTAGAGAATTAAGAAAATGGCTTTAATATTAATAACGGACATTAATTATTGATAGTTTTCATATAAACAACAACAATAGAAAAGTACAATTTAAAAAACCTGGATTTAAAACAGCAACCAAAAAGATTAAAAAAAAAACAAATAAATTTGACCAAAAACATGTTAGACTTTTGTGAAGAAGACGTTACTGAAAGACCTGAAAAATGCCTTGGAGAAACAAACAAACAAACAAACAAACAAACAAATCCCACAATCTTGGATGAGAAAATTCAACATTGTAAAGGATTTCAAGATTTAACACAATCCCAATTGTTTTTAAAAGTTGTTCTCTCTTTTGGAATTACATTAGCTGATTCTAGAATTCATGTTAAAAAATAAGCAAAACTCGGCCAGGCGTGGTGGCTCACACCTATAATCCCAGCACTTTGGGAGGCCGAGCTAGGCGGATCATGAGGTCAAGAGATTGAGACCATCCTGCCAACATGGTGAAACTCCGTCTCTTCTAAAAATACAAAAATTAGCTGGGCATGGTGGTGCGCACCTGTAATCCCAGCTACTTGGGAGGCTGAGGCAGGAAAATTGCTTGAACCCAGGAGGCGGAGGTTGCAGTCAGCCGAGATTGCGCCACTGCACTCCAGCCTGGCGACACAGTGAGATTCTGTCTCAAAAAAAAAAGGCAAAACTCTTAAAAAGAAGTTTAATGGCAGATTTGTCCTATCACATATTAAAACTTAAAGTATCCATATTTTAGAAAATGTGGTACTAGCACATAAGTAGACAGAAGGACCAATGGAACACATTACAAAGTCCAGAAATAGATCAAAATACATATGGGAACGTATTCTATGATAATGCAGCATCTTACATCTGAAGATGAGAAGATGAACTACTAAGTAAAAAATATCGTCAGTCACAAAAATAGAATAGAGCCAAGTAGGAAAAACGTAGGATTCATACTCTTCACCAATTAAATTCCAAATGGATCAAAGATTTAACAGTTATAAAACCACAGAAGTACCAGAAAAAAGCACAGGAGAATTTCTTTATAACCTTGGTTCACTATAGTTATATATAATAATTACATAAAACTCTACTAAGATATTACTATATAAAACTCTCTTTATATGTTAGTCTGGAGTAGGATACAAAAGTTTAACAACTTTCTTTGGGAAAGACTGTTGGAAAACAGGCACTCACCTAAATTGCTGGCACAAGTCTAGAGGGGTTCTACCCCGCTAGAAAATAACTTGTGAAATGCTATTGAAATTACAAACGCACATACCCTCTGACCCAGCCATCCTACTTTTTTTTTTTTTTTTTTTTTTTTTTGAGACGGAGTCTTGCTCTGTCACCCAGGCTGGAGTGCAGTGGCGCAATCTCGGCTCACTGCAAGCTCCACCTTCCGGGTTCACACCATTCTCCTGCCTCAGCCTCCTGAGTAGCTGGGACTACAGGCACCCGCCACCACGCCTGGCTAATTTTTTGTATTTTTAGTAGAGACGGGGTTTCACCGTGTTAGCCAGGATGGTCTCAATCTCCTGACCTCATGATCTGCCCGCCTTGGCCTCCCAAAGTGCTGGGATTACAGGCGTGAGCCATCGTGCCCATCCTCCAGCCATCCTACTTCTAAGAACTCACCTAGAGATATACTTTCACATATGCAAAATCCCTCTACTATATTTTTGTAATAGAAAAAGACTGAAAACAATACTCGCATATATATAAGAGCCTAGTTAAATGACAGTAAATGCATACAATGAAATATTATAAGGCTACAAAAACTAATGACAAAACCTTACGTCACGATTGGGAAAATCTCCAAGATATTCGATCAGGTGACAAAAGAATGTTGCAGAATGCTATGTATGATATGTTACCATGTGTGTAAAAGATGGAGGGAGATAATATATTCCTATTTGCTGGTATGTGCTTAAGAGAACCCTAGAAGGATATGCCAAAAATTATTGAGAGTAATTACTTATGTTGAGGAGAAGGAGACATAGTGGGAAGATTTTTCACTGAATCCTGTTCAATGCTTTGCAGATTTCTTAGCCATATGAATTATATTACTTATGCAAAACACATTCTCCTTTCTCTTCTATTGTTATGCTTGGAGTGTGGCTGGGAACTGCTGTAGCTATTCTGAGACCACGAGAGGAGTCACTCGGAAGGGAAAGCCGACATCGAGTATCGGGAGATGAAGGGAAATGAAGAGACAGCAACTACCCGAAGCCCTGACGGCATCACTGGGCTGTCAATCAACCCTCTCACTTCTCTAACTTGCAACTTACTTCACGGGATGTTTTTCCCTATTTAAGCCATTTTGAGCAGGGTAATCTGTTATATGTGGTTGAGAGCAGCCAACTGCTATACTAGTCTAGAGAGCTAAACCCAGGCACCCCCTTAACAATCGTCAGTCAGAGTGGGTCAGGACAATAAGCACAACCTGCTTTTCCAGACTCCTTTGTCCTCCTCCCTGAATGCTGAAGAAACAACCTTCCCTTCTGGTGTTCATCACACTTCTACACACCCATCTGCACTAATTCCACTGTGCTGTGATCTGTCTTTGTATACATTTCCCCTTCCTGAGTAAACTCTGAACTCTGCAAGAATGGGCTTATTATTATTTTTTTTTTTTTGAGATGGGGTTTCACTCTTGTTGCCCAAGCTGGAGTGCAGTGGCACGATCTCAGCTCACTGCAACCTCCACCTTCTGGTTTCAAGAGATTCTCCTGCCTCAGCCTCCCGAATAGCTGGGATTACAAGCGCCCGCCACCATGCCCGGCTAATTTTTTTTATTATTTTTAGTAGAGACGGGGTTTCACCATGTTGGCCAGGCTGGTCTCAAACCCCTGACCTCGTGATCCACCCCCGCCCTGGCCTCCCAAAGCGCTGGGATTACAGGCATGAGCCACCGCATCCAGCCAAGAACGGGCATTATAAATGACAAACTAATCCCCCCATGGGCACCTCTTAGCCCACCTTGCGTGGCTTCAGTAACTTCTGATTCTAATCGTTGCTCAAGAAGAAAGCAGCAAGGCTGCACCAAAGCTATTTGTCTTTCCATCAAACTACCCAAAATAATTAGCGAGGCAGAGACAAAGCTGCATGCTTCACCAGGCCCTCCTCTTGAGTATACAGAAAGACTACATCCCCCAGCCGCCCTCAGAGCTAGGTTGGAGCCACGTGACTAGTTATGGCCAAGGGGCTGAGTGTGTGAAACTTGCAGGCCAAGGCATAGAAGACAGATGTGAGTTCTCCACACCCTCATTCTTCTCCAGTCACAGGGAACACGCACGCCTTGTGTCATGAGAGCACAGCCCAGAGATGGAAGCAACCTGAAGCTCGGAGTCACCTTTACGTGACAGACTTTACACGAGGCAGGCAAAAAAGCTTTCATGTATTAAAAGTGTGACATTCGCAGGTTTGTTAACACAGTCTATCACGTCCTGGCTCAATCTTTCTGTCAACAAACATGTGCTGAATCAACAACACACCTGCTGTATACCCAACTCTGGGCTGGATGTTACGGAAGATACAGAAAAGTGCATGAAGACGCTCATTCATTGAGCAATTACTTATTAAAAATTGTGCTAGGCTTTGGTCTCTGTCCTTGAGGTATTTAAAATATAGATCAAGAGACAAAATATACACTTGCAAAAGAGAAAAGCAGTTAAGTATTAACCATACAGTCTCCCTAGCTAAATCAGCTTCCTATTAATATGCTCTCAAAATACAATCTATTTTTTTGAACTTATTTTACTGATTGTATGATTCTTTATTTCATGTCTGTCTCTCTCCCTGGACTGTACATGGCTCAACTGCAAAAAGTAGGTGCTTTTGTAGTTTTGGTTTTACCACTACACTCCCAGTATCAGTGTATAGCACATAGTAGGCACTCAATAAAGATCTACTTAATGAAGGAAGGTTTGCTTTACCACATTTTTACTTCCTTACCTATTTTTCATTAAACTAGCAGGAAACTGTAATATTCTTGACTGTACTTAGTAACTCCTTGGGGTTCAACTGCCCCTACACTCACGTAGAGGACAAAGCAAATCTGTACTGATTTCAGCACACCCTTGCACATCAGAAAAGCTAGGACGTCACTGTATTTCAGGGACATACATAAAAGAGAGAAGGGGGTTTATGATATGGATGTATATTCCTTAGCAACTTCCTTCTTCTAGAAGAGTAGGTTGGTCACGTGGTAACAACATTAAGCAATGTGAAGTATAAATCAATGATTCTTTAGGAAATCTAAGTACTATGGGACATAAATCATCCTTCTTGTAAATCAACATTTAAATTGAAATAAAACATTCAACGGTTTCAAATGGGGAGGAGCATTTTTAATGTTAGAATTTAATGTAAATTTTTCTTTTGCCCATCTTGGCTACCGATATACTGATATGAAATACACATTGGAAATATCATGTTTTGTCAGTAGTGCAAGAGAAAAGCCTATCTCTAAAATTAAATTTAAAAATCTGCACTCTGAGAAAACGTAGACGTTTCATTATCATCTTCTTTTGATTTTAGCAATTGGTCTGCTTGTTAATATATCCTTCTTGACATACAACTACCACCTCAAACTCTAAACAACTTCCTATTCCCTATAATCCTCTACAGAGTTGGTGGTGTGAAGATTAAAGCTTAGCCAATTAGCCACCCACTGCAGCTGAGTTAATCACATAATCTTTGAGATGGTCACAGAGCAGTGGAGTATGCAATGGTTTTGGTTTTTTTTTTTCTCTTTACAGGCAAAGATTTAACTAATTGTGAGATTTAGCAATGCTCTCGAATATAAAGGGCGGGAGGGTTTTAAATCAGAAGCTGTGTCACTGCTTTATGAGACAGGGCTTATCTTCTTCTAAGAGACACTGTTGCACAGAGACTTCTTTAACAAGTTTCCAAATACCCTAAATTAGTCAACCATTGCTTATTTAGACCAAGGCTTACTGCTTTAGAATAATGACCAGTAATCCGTAAGGTAAAACTAAGATTCTGTCACATGACAGCTATACATTCAATTATGTGATTGCCACATTAATGTCTGTTTAAAGGAAATGCTAATCCAAACTGAAGTTTGACCATTCTTGACTCTCCTTAATAAGGCCACATATGAGGAAGAAGAGAAAAGAGGGAAAAGAGGGATGGAAAGGCCCTCGGGAATGAGGGATGGGGAAGAAAGAGAGGAAAAGAGCGTTGTGCAAAGTAAATGAAAAAGAGGGAAACAGAGGTAGGGGCTCTAGGAAGGGAGGCTCACCAGGTTCCAAGCGAGTCCTGGTAGGGTAAACAGATCTTGTGGCATTGCTGCCAGTTACTAGGGAAATGTTGATTAGCAGATTAACCCCAGTTCTCTAACAGTAAATGTGTTGTGGTCATGGTCTAGCATTCCTGACAAAATGTGCCATAGTGAGCACGTCTATAACATTTCAAAGTTCTGACAAGGCTTTCTGGCCACCATGCTTCTGGAAGTCATGAATTAAGGGAAAGACACCTACCCTCCACTCACAAAGTGACAAAGCAACCCAACTGACCCCCCCCACCCCAAAACCAAGAACTACAGAAGCAAAGAAAAATGCTGGAGGAATCCAGAGATTAGAGAAGCAAACGAAAATGTTGGAGGAGCCTAGAACTAGGAATTAACTGTAGAGAGGACTAAGGAAATCTCTGCAAGTCATTGGAGATACTACAGAAACCAACTGGCAGAGAAAGGAATGAGTTTCTCCAAAGATAGATAGAGCTGAGCGTTCCCTAAGAGTTGGTATTAGAAATGACTAGGCAACTGACAATCAGGAGGGAAGGGGATACAATCGAATTGTAATTGAACATGTCATATAATGAACAAGTCATGTTTACAACTGAATTAAAGTCCTTGGAAGGCTAGGTCCAACAAGAGAACTATTAGGTATGAGAAGTTGGGGAAAGAAGGGGAGGTCTCAAGGATGGGGATTAGGAGTAAAGAAGGCAAAAATAATACTCTTACATAGGCAGGTGAAGGAAATCAAACAACAGCAACTCTGACCTCAAATCTAAGAAAATCCACTTCCAGCAGTCCACTTCAGCTTTAGCATTCACTCCTCCATACACTTCTTGCTGGTCCTCGATAGGTCCACATGGTGCCATCTTCCCTGACTAGTTGGAGCAACGCTAGCTAGCTGGGTATTTGTTCTCATGGCCCTTGAGCAGATTTCCCGGGGACTTTTCTACATAGCTTATGAGAGTGCTTTTGTCTAGTATGAATTTTCTTATTGATCAGACTTCTCTGGAATGTCTACAGGACTTGCACTTTTTGGACAAGCATATGCGGACATGTTCCCGTTACGGTGTTGGGTCTAAAGCAATCCTAGCCCAACAAGGAATCACCAATGGAAGTGAATGAGAAATTCACCTTCCAGGCCACCGACATCATTCTCCTTCCTCTCTGTATCTGCAATGATTTTCTTTCTTCATGGTGCTCAATGTCCAGTCGCCACATTGGTTTCCCGCTCTTGGCCAGACTCCATGTCATCCAGAACGGACCATCATTGTGTGTTATGTCCACGTCTACCTTCTCCAAATCACTCCACAGGAGTCATTTCTCCTTGACAGTACTTACATTATTTTTAAACAGAATTCTTCTAGAACCTTATTCTGAACCATCCTAGACTTCTGGTCCTGAACAGAAAAGATACACCAATCTCTATGTTGCCCTTGGTTTCATCTTGAGAGCATGTAAATAAGTCTGGCCAGTAACTTTATTTCAACCCTCAGGGATTCAGTTACCTTTGCTTGACAGTGTCTCCCCAGTATGATCTCTGTCCCCATGCCACTCAGCCATTCACCAACACACCAACAAGCAACAGCTTTAGTCCACCACATGGATCAGCCTTATGGGCATGAAGAGCAGAAGGCAGTCCCAGTGGCAGGACCCAAGAGGTCCTCAGAAGGCCTCCATCCAAAAAAACCACCTGACACTAACCTGCCAAATTCCCTAAACATTCCCATCAACTAATTCACTGTGGTTTCAATCCTAGGGTTTAAGGAGGTTTCGGTGAAAATACCTCCAGAAGACAAGACATTGGCAGCCGTTGATTCCACTGCTAGAATTAACATGAGATTGTTCACTAATAAGACAATAGGCAGCAAGCTGGGCACGGAGGGAAGCAGACACGGAACAAATGAGATGTGGAAGAGGAGAATGGAGGGCAGAGGACCAGGTGCAGCGTATGATGGGGTCAGACAGACCACGTCCTTCTAGAGCAATCAGGGGGCAGGGCACGAGGGACAGAAGATCTCCGAAGCAATGAGGCAGCCTGAGTTCCCTCCTAGCCGGATGGAGACACAATGCTCCAGTAATAACATCTTGTATTTATAAAGGTCTTAGAGTTTACAAAGCCTGTCTCATAGCAATCACTTCATCTGGTCCTAACAACAACGAAAAATGGGCAGCACATGTATCCCCAGTCTAAGGTCAATGACTTCAAAGCCCACATGACTGACAGACTAGAAAGCTACAGAACTGGGTCCTTCTAACACCTCATCCAGCTCTTTTTATGGTGCAATGGTTACAAGTTCAGAGCTAAAATCCAAGTTCTATGACTGATTAGCTTTAGAATCTTGAACCCTCTGAGCCTGTTTCTCTTCTGCAAAATGGGGCATTATAAAGAGCTCCTGAGCAAATGCACATAAAGAGCTTAGCACAGTGCCTACCATATAAAAAACAAATAGCAGACATAAGCTATAGGTCTCATGACTAGTACACTGTGACATAGAGCAGTCGTTCTAACCCTGCCACCTACTAAAACCACCCGGTAGTCTCCCCAGCCTTACTGCTGCCCAGGCCTCACCCAAGACTATGAATCAGACTCTGCAAGTACATGGTCTAAACATTTGTATTTTTTTTTTTTTTTCCATTCTCTCTTGGGTGATTCTGATGCAAAGTGCCACGATTAAGAATAAATGACACAGGCCAGGTGTAGTGGCTCATGGCTGTAATCCCAGCGTTTTGGGAGGCTGAGGCAGGCAGATCACCTGAGGTCAGGAGTTCAAGACCAGCCTGGCCAACATGGTAAAACCTCATCTCTACCAAACATACAAAATTAGCCAGGCGTGGTAGTGCGTGCCTGTGATCCCAGCTACTCGGGAGGCTGAGGCAGGAGAATCACTTGAACTCGGGAGGCGGAGGTTGCAGCGAGCTGAAATTGTGCCACTGCACTCAAGCCTGGGTGACACAGCAAAACTCCGTCTCAAAAACAAAACAAACAAAAACAACAACAAAAAAACAAGGGCCGGGAGCTGTGGCTCACGCCTGTAATCCCAGCACTTTGGGAGGCCGAGGCAGGCAGATCACGAGGTCAGGAAATCGAGACCATCCTAGCTAACATGGTGAAACCCTGTCTCTACTAAAAATACAAAAAATTAGCCGGGCATGGTGGCGGGCGCCTGTAGTCCCAGCTACTCGGGAGGCTGAGGCAGGAGAGTGGTGTGAACCTGGGAGGCGGAGCTTGCAGTGAGCCAAGATTGCGCCACTGCACTCCAGCCTGGGCGACAGAGCAAGACTCCATCTCAAAAAATAAATAAATAAATAAATAAATAAATAAATAAGGAATAAATGATACAAAGCAGTTATTTCTTAAATTGTAATGTGCATTCAAATCACCTGATGATCTTGTTAGAATGCAAGTTTTAATTCTGTAGTTTGGGGTTCGGGTTGGAAAATTCTGAGTTTGTAACACACTGCCAGGTGATGCTGATGCTGCTTATCAGCAAGTCACACTGTAAAGGACACAGAGATGATCAGAGAAGAGGGGTGACAAAGGCAGGCAAGCGGGGACCAAAAACTAACAAAACAAACAAGGACCTGGTGGGAAGACTTCAGAGGTCCTCAGCCTAAATTCCTAGGTTGGCCCCTTCAGCATCATTAAGTGGCACAATTAATGAGAAGCAAAGAGCAGAGTCTGGTGCAAAACATGCTCTTCTCAAATGGGAACCATGACTATTCATCACGACTGCCTCATCACTACCAAGCAGAATAGTCTGAATGTTTTGTCCTCTTTCTGACCATCATCTGTCTACATGACCACTATTCCTCCATGAAACAAGCTCCCCGTCCTACCTATGTCCTTATTAATTTCTTGACTAAAAAGACTCTGCCTTCAGTGTAAAGCCCCTTCTAGAAGACAGTTTTTTGGTTTTTTTTTTTGAGACGGAGTCTTGCTCTGTCGCCCAGGCTGGAGTGCAGTGGCGTGATCTCGGCTCACTGCAACCTCCACCTCCCAGGTTCAAGCAATTCTCCTGCCTCAGCCTCCTGAGTAGCTGGGACTACAGGTGCCCGCCACCACAACGGCTACTTTTTTGTTGTTGTTGTTGTATTTTAGTAGAGATGGCATTTCACCTTGTTGCCCAGGCTGGTCTCAAACTCCTGAGCTCAGGCAATCCACCCACCTTGGCCTCCCAAAGTGCTAGGCTTACAGGCGTGAGCCACTGCACCCAGGCGACAGTACTTTCTTTTCACCTTTGATTCCTTTGCTCACCTGTTCTCTTTGACCAACCTGGACCACCACCTTCATCCACATACTTCACCCCTGTACCCTGGGACTGAATATGCCAGGGAAATATTGGGAACCACAGTAGATTGGCCCAGCACAGGCTTCTATCTTCATTTAAACCCTGCCCAGGAGACTGCCAACAGAGTATCACCCCTCCCTAACTGACTCTTAGGTTCATTTCTTCACAGAAGCAACTTAACATTTCATCTACCTTCCTGTATTTCACAGTTTCTTCATGGAACCTTGGATCGCCGCTCCTGAGAAGACTGGAACCCACAGGAAAATCAGTTTCATTTTCTTCAGCTTGTTCTAGGCAGTTGTTTGCAATCTGGGTTGTATATTAGAATCACCTGAGACCTCCCTGCCCCTCTGCCCCTCCACCGCAATCCCACTCTGGTTCACCTGTCAGAGGTGGAGTCTGACAATGCACGGCTAGGGTCCAAAACCACTGCCCTTGGGAAGCCACACTATTCCTAACTGGAAACCAACTAGAAACAAGCTCCTCTCCACGATAAATGCATCAACCCTAGCGTGGAAGATGAGGAGAGGCGGGTTTCCACCCAAGCTCATTGCCTTCTGTGATGGTTCCCACGATGAAGCTAAGGAAGTTCTAGAAACAGGGGGAGGCCAATTCTAAAGAGGTAGCAATTTACGGTTCATCAACCTCAGCCTTGGAAAGCCCGACCCGTCCTCCAGGTCTTCCAGCAGAACCGGGCTCAGAGCAGCTGTCAGCTCTTTGAAGTGTGAATCACTCACTGGCGAAGAATGGGGAGGAGGATCCAACTCCTTTGCCTCTGTGAGCCCCGGACCAGTCTTATTAGGACTCATGTTCTCAATATGCCAATTAAAAAAAAAAACAAAAAACTGCTTTGCCCACACAGAGAAGTAGTGACCTCAGGAGTTTAGAAGGCAGTTAACAAAGCAGAAAACTCAACCAAAGAATGCCAAAGAAATGTTCTGACTTCACCCACAGTCTCCCTTAGTATGTTCCACCCAAGATGGGATTCAGCTGAACATACCTGGTTTACTAAACCCAGAAAATTAACGAAAACTGGCCGGGCGCAGTGGCTCACACCTGTAATCCCAGCACTTTGGGAGGCCAAGGCGGGCGGATCACGAGGTCAGGAGATCGAGACCATCCTGACTAATACGGTGAAACCCCATCTCTACTAAAAATACAAAAAATTAGTCGGGCACGGTGGCGGTGGGCGCCTGTAATCCCAACTACTTGGGAGGCTGAGGCAGTAGAATGGTGGAAACCTGGGAGGTGGAGCTTGCAGAGAGCCAAGATCACGCCACTGCACTCCAGCCTGGGTGACAGAGCGAGACTCTGTCTCAAACAAACAAACAAAAATTAACGAAAACTAAATTGAGTAGAAAATTATAGTCAAACACCATAAATGAATAGAATAGATTTTGATTAATTCCTAAAGTAAGCCATTCAGGAAACAGCTGTAGTATCTGCAAAGAAGTCTTCGCCCACCAAGTAATCCCTGTAAATAAAAACATCCTACCTGATTAGATCTGGTTCGGCACCCTCATTCTTAAAGGATGCCAGAAGTAGTCTCTCTCGAGTTACAAGATCATCCAAGAGGTTCTGTCTTCGGTCCCCTTCAAGCTGTGTTCTGCAGATATCTTGTTAAGGTTCAATGGTGAATAAATGACCTCGTTTTAACTATTACATTATTAAGTTAGCTCTTCAAGTCAGTTGTGGCTTTTACAGACTGTAATCACTACTACCCAGAAGGGATGCGCACCACTCTTGCGTTTTTCCTGCTCTGACCTTCACCTTCACCAGGCCGTCAGGTAAAGGACCTTGGCAGGACCATCGCAGAGGCACTTATAAACACTGACGTGGATCATGACACAAGTTTTTCATTGAGAAATATACCAGGTAAATATTACTTTCCTCCCCGTGACCAAACTTATTTACTTATTTTTGAGACAGAGTCTCGCTCTGTCGCCCAGGCTGGAGTGCAATGGCGCGATCTCGGCCCACTGCAACCTCTGCCTCCCGGGTTCAAGCAGTTCTCCTGCCTCAGCCTCCCGAGTAGCTGGGCTTACAGACGTGCACCACCACAACCGGCTAAGTTTTGTATTTTTATTAGAGACGGGTTTTTGCCATGCTGGCCAGGCTGGTCTCGAACTCATGACCTCAGGTGATCTGCCTGCCTTGGCCTCCCAAAGTGCTGGAATTACAAGGCGTGAGTCACCACGCCCAGCCCCAGTGACCAAATTTAAATGACTTCTCCTGCCAATGGTGCAACCTGGCTCAGTGATTCCTTAGGTTTTGAGTTATATGTGTGTGTCAGTGTTCCAGGGCATTTTCCTACATATTAATACCCTAAGATGCTCTGTTTAAAAAAGTGGGGGCGCTGGGGGAGAGAAGTTCTCTATATTGCTCTCTTTCTTCCATGTTAATATCTATTAACACACCTAGGATATTTATAAAGTGCTACTTTATGCAACAGATTTGCTCTATAAATTGTTACCATCAGTTCACTATTTAAATACATTGCATGATTTGTAAAGAAAATTACAAAGAGAATCATTTTAATGTGTGAATCTAGCAAACACGCTAGACTAGGAGCCCCAGAGGCAGAGTTGTAGCCCTATTCCACTATCTATGCTCTTGAACCAGTTATTTCACCTTTTGGGATCTCTCTTTCTTTATATGTAACACTAAATAGTCTCTAACATCTTTTCCACAACAATTCATAAGTGATGGTTAAAAAAAAAAAACCAAACAACCATCCTTCTGGGAAATGTAGTCTTTGGAAAGAAACCTACAATTCACCAATAGGTGGACGAGAATGCGGCGCGTGCGCATGAAGCAAAAAGGGAAGTGGCGTCTGTCAACAACCGGCGCCACTTCCCTTGGACTAAGTACAAAGTTTTATATACTAGCTTTCTTGATGCAAACTACAAAAGTGGTTTTTTTTTTTTTTTTTTTTTTTTGGAGACGGAGCCTTGTTCTGTCTACAGGCTGGAGTGCAGTGGCGCGATCTCGGCTCACTGCAACCTCCGCCACCCGGGTTCAAGCGATTCTCCTGCCTCAGCCTCCTGAGTAGCTGGGACTACAGGCACGTGCCACCACGCGCAGCTAATTTTTTGTATTTTTGGTAGAGACAGGTTTTCACCATGTTGGCCAGGATGGTCTCGATCTCTTGACCTCATGATCCGTTCACCTCAGCCTCCCAAAGTGCTGGGATTACAGGTGTGAGCCAGTGCGCCCAGACACAAGTTTTTGTTTGTTTGTTTTTAGGCTGAACTGTGTCTATGTGTGTGGTATGTTAAGAAACACAGAAGGGCTGGACGCGGTGGCTCAACGCCTGTAATCCCAGCACTCTGGGAGGCTGAAGTGGGCGGATCACAAGGTCAAGAGATGGAAACCATCCTGGCAAACACGGTAAAACCCCGTCTCTACTAAAAATATAAAAACTAGCCAGGCGTGGTGGCGTGCGCCTGTAGTCCCAGCTACTCGGGAGGCTGAGGCAGGAAAATCGCTTGAACCCGGGAGGCGGAGGTTGCAGTGAGCCGAGATCGCGCCACTGCGCTCCAGCCTGGTGAAAGAGCGAGACTCTGTCTCAAAAAAAAAAAAAAAAAAAAGAAAAAAGAAACACAGTAAAGGATATGTTTGGAAACAACTTCTGCCATAAAATGAATGAGTGGAGAAAGCTAACAAACACTTTTAAAATATATCTGGCCAGGTGTGGTGGCTTACGCCTGTAATCCCAGCAGGTCAAGGCAGGTGGATCACGAGGTCAGGAGTTCGAGACCAGCCTGACCAATATGGTGAAACCCCATCTCTACTAAAAACACAAAAATTAGCTGGGCATGGTGGCGCACAATCGCAGCTACGCAGGAGGCTGAGGCAGGAGAATCACTTGAACCCGGGAGGCGGAGGTTGCAGTGAGCCGAGACTGTGCCACTGCACTCCAGCCTGGGTGACAGAGCAAGACTCCGTCTCAAAAAAAAAAAAGAAAAAAGAAAAGAAAAGAAAAGAAATACACACTAAAACAAGATACCACTTCCACCTATCAGATTAGGAAACTGAGAAGACAGTTTTGGAAAGGGACAAGGAACCAGACACTCTCATACATTCTTTCCTTTTCTTTTCTTTTCTTTTTTTTTTTTTTGTTTTGTTTTGTTAAGATGGAGTCTTGCTCTATCATCCCAGGCTGAAATGCAGTGTTGCAACCTTGGCTCACTGCAACCTCCACTACCTGGGTTCAAGCAATTCTCCTCTCAGCTCCCCAAGTAGCAGGGATTACAGGTGTCCACCACCACACCCAGCTAATTTTTGTGGGTTTTTTTGAGAGACAGGATTTCACCATGTTGGCCAGGCTGGTCTCAAACTCCTAATCTAAAGTGACCCTCCTGCCTCCCAAAGTGCTGGGATTACAAGCATGAGCCACTTCACCTGACCTTATACATTCTTTCTTTATTATTATTATTATTTTTTGAGACAGTGTCTCCCTCTGTCGCCCAGCCTGGAGTGCAGTGGCATGATCTTGGCTCACTGCAACCTCCAGCTCCAGAGTTTAAGCAATTCTCCTGCCTCAGCCTCCCAAGTAGCTGGGATTACATGCACATGCCACCATGCCCAGCTAATTTTTGTGTTTTCAGTAGAGATGGGGTTTCACCATGTTGTCCAGGCTGGTCTCGAACTCCTGACCTCAAGTGATCCACCCACCTCGGCCTCCCAAAGTGCTGGGATTACAGGCATGAGCCACCATACCCGGCCACCTCATACATTCTTGATAGGAATGCAAACAGGTTCAACCAACTGCTAGACTGCCTTCTAAATACCTAACAAAATATAAAAGGTACAGTCTTTCAACAGACATTTCTTCCTCAGATACAGTCCTACAAGGACTTAGAAGCAAGGATGTCCACTGAACCATTATTTATAATAGCCACATTGGAAATATCAATAAGTAACTAGTGTATGTAAACAATGGAATGTTTTGCAGCCTTAAAAAAAGAATAGGAAAGCTGTTTAGGGGGCTGATAATGATAATTAACATTTTTGAGCACTTACTAAGTGTTTACATGAATTATTTGACATGGAATAATCTACAAAATATAACATTAAACCAAAGGAGGGGAAAAAAACAGCAGCAGCAAGGAGCTAAACAGTGAGTAGTGTGCTCCCACTTTGTTAAAAAAAAATCCTAACTATATATGTGTGTATATACACACAGAAAATTTCTGATATATAAACATTGCCTCTAAGGAAGGACAACTGAGGATTAAGGGTATAAGAGAGACTGATGTTTCACTGAATATTGTTTCCTAATGTTTGTCTCTATCATCTGCTAATTAATAAAAACACAAGCTTCAGAACCATATGTATAATATAATCCCTTTATAGTCAAAGGAATTTTATGTTTACATATGCATATATTTCAAGCCTAGAAAAGTCTGAGATACTAGCTACCAACCATTAACACTTAACTATAAAGAATGAGATGAGACAGGATAGAATAAGGAAGAGAAAGAGGAGTCATTGGTAATAACTAATGAGAAATGTATCAGTAGAAAGTATAATATTTTTTGTAATAAAAACAATAAAGGTACATTTTAAAATCAGCAGATACTAGTTACAGATTTAAACTTACGTCAAGAAGGAGCTAACAAAGAACATCAGTTTCAGAAACAGTAAAACTTGATGACTATGTTTTGTAGATGAGTAACCAAAGAACAGAAACCCACACAGTTGATGCTAGAAGAGGCCTTAAAGATCCCAGTTCTCTTGTTTTGCTGACCAGAAATTAAGGGTGAGCATGGCTAAGTCACTTGCCTGGGTTAACAGCCATGCTAGGTGACAGCTCTTTCAACCCTAGCTCATGGCTTTTCCACCAAACATTCTGCAGACTTCTCCACCTTGAGATGCTGACTTAACTTTGCCACTTCTTAGAATCCTGATAAAAACAATACTGGGAGTACGAATTCAGAATATTCCCAGAGACTCTGTAAATCTGGAAAACAATCCAATTAGGAACATGCTGCCTCTTTGTTTTATATTTTAATCTACGGAGAGAACAGAGCATAAGGAGATGGGGAGGAGGGAGATGGAATGAGAATAAATTGATTAATGAACCATCTGCATAGCACCCTTGCTATGTAAGGGTTGTTATTAGTAAGAGGTCAAAGGATCATCCAGGAAACAATCTATACAGCATGTATGTGGACAGGTGCGTAGCAGTTGGGTAAAGTAGGGTAGTGGGGAAACAGTGTGCCTGAGTGATGCTAAGGACAAGTAGAAAGTAGGACACACAGGCCAAGCGCGGTGGCTCAAGCCTGTAATCCCAGCACTTTGGAAGGCTGAGGCAGGCGGATCATGAGGTCAGGAGTTCGAGACCAGCCTGGACAACACGGTGAAACCCCATCTGTACTAAAAAAATACAAAAATTAGCTGGGTGTGGTGGCACACGCCTGTAGTCCCAGCTACTCAGGAGGCTGAGGCAGGAGAATCGCTGGAACCCGGGAGGCAGAGGTTGCAGTGAGCCAAGATCGTGCCACTGCACTCCAGCCTGGGCAACAAAGTGAGACTCCATCTCAAAAAAAAAAAAAAGTAGTACAGCACACAGTCAGTGGCCAGTGCTGGGGAACCTCCTCTTCCACCAACCTGGTGAATAGCCAAGGAAGAAGATAAGAGAACAGACAGATAAAGAAAAGGAAGAGAAGAGCTAACTATCATAGTACTTTGTCCTTGGCTATGCTGATTGTACATGTAATTATAGCCAATTCATGGATATGTAAGGTTGTAAATAAAACTGGATCCCCTGTAGTCCCAGCTACTCGGGAGGCTAAGGCAGGAGAATGGCGTGAACCCGGGAGGTGGAGCTTGCAGTGAGCCAAGATCGTGCCACTGCACTCGAGCCTGGGTGACACAGCGAGACTCCATCTCAAAAAATAAATAAATAAAAATAAAAATAAAACTGGATCCTGATTTCATATTACTGATACCTACTACCAGCATGCATAAGTCCAGCTTCTCTGCTGTAGCCTGGTGAGCATTTGAACCACAGATGGAGCGGGGTAAATATGCAACTGGATCCACAGGTCACCCAATCCCACTCCAGCTCCTGGATTTTCTCTTATATTTGGTAGAAGGCTTAAGAATTTAGGCTGGGCACAGTCGCTCACACCTGTAATCCCAGCACTTTGGGATGTTGAGGTGGGTGAATCACCTGAGGTCAGGAGTTTGAGACCAGCCTGGCCAACATGGCAAAACCCCATCTCTACCAAAAACACAAAAATTAGCCAGGTGTAGTGGTGCACACCTGTAATCCCAGGTACTTGGGAGGCTGGGGTAGGAGAATCGCTTGAACCTGTGAGGCGGTGGTTGCAGTGAGCTGAGATCGCACCATTGTGCTCCAGACTGGGCAACAAGAGTGAAACTCCGTCTCAAAAAAAAATAGAATTTAGGTAAGCCTTATTTTGTGAAAGAGCTGCTCTGGCGAAGGAAGAAGTTTGCAGATAATTAATTCTCCATGCCAAAAAAGAAGAACTGCAAGGGAACAGTTTAAGGTTCTAGAGGTCAAAAGACTTTTCTGGCTTTCTTTTTTTAAGTCAACAAACTCTAATAAATATTTATGATGTACCAGGCCAAGTCCTTACCTTCCTCAAAGCACTGATCACATTTTGCAAGTACTATTTTAATACCATCATTGTTTGTGAGTTTTGACATAACCATCATGCATGATTAAAAACTCCACAAAGAAAGGATGACCTGTAAATTCTCAATGGTAGCTGAAATCTTTACAATAATGATAAAATAATCAATAGCAGCTAATCCTCAAGGAGGACTTAGTATATGTGAAGCACCCTGTATGCATATAATCTCATCCTTACACAACAATCCTTTACGCCAGGTGGACTTCTAGCATCCCATTCCACAAATGAGGCACAAAGAGGTTAAGTAACTTCCCCAGGGGTGTTGGTAACCACCTTTTATTCAACACCCACCATTATGGGGGGCTAGTCCTGTGAAGAAAAAAGATTTTCTTCAACTTGTACAATAACCTGGCAAAGTATGATTATTCCTACATTACAGATAATGAAACTAAGGTCCAGAAAAGCTGAACTGCTGTTTGGCCTTGGTAAGTGGCAGAGCTGGTCTTCAATCTCAGTTCTGTCTGCTTTCAGAGCCGATGTTGTTCCCACGATACCAATGGCACCTAGACATTCAGGTTTCGTGGACCAGTAATATGTCCAAAAAAACTAGGGGGGGGTGTAACTTATATAGAATTACCAATTATACATTTTGCCAGGTATGGATGTTCAAGAAAAAAAAAAAGAAACAAAACTATCTACTTTTACTATCATGGTGAAAAAGCAAGGAGATTTTAACACCAAAAACTAGAAAGAACCATGTAACAGTTCTGTATAAATCAGAAAACAGGCTTGATATGGTGGCTCACACCAGTAATCCAAACATTTTGCAGGCCAAGGTGGAGGATCGCTTGAGACTAGAAGTTCGAGACCAGCCTGGGCAACATGGCGAGACCCCATCTCTACAAAAAATTAGCTGGGCATGGTGGCATACACCTGGACCCCTAGCTACTTGGGAGGCTGAGGCAGGAGGATCTCTTGAGGCCAGGAATTTGAGGCTGCACTGAGCTAGGATTTTGCCACTGCCCCCCATCCTAGGCAACACAGTGAGATCCTGTCTTTAAAAAGTCAGAAAAAAAGTTCTTATAAATCAAAAAACTTCTGCTACACAAACACTATCTTCTTCTTATTTTTCTCATGTTACCAAGTATCAGTGAAAACCAATAGACAGGGACAGTGTTTGAAAACCACTTCACCTCCACTGTAGCTACCAGGGGTTACCTGTAAAATCTGTTCAGTCAGCCTCTCCACAACCACATCCATTGGGGTTTGTTATGTAGTAATCACCACATCTGTCTATGCACTTATCTATCTACTTACCTATCTTTGTTTTTCCAAAAAATAGAGTAGAGAAAATTTATTTATAGATTTTTCTTTTTTTTTTTTTTTTGAGACGGAGTCTCGCTCTTTTGCCCAGACTGGAGTGCAGTGGCGCGATCTCGGCTCACTGCAAGCTCCGCATCCCGGGTTCACGCCATTCTCCTGCCTCAGCCTCCCGAGTAGCTGGGACTACAGGCGCCCGCCACCACGCCCGGCTAATTTTTTTTGTATTTTTAGTAGAGACGGGGTTTCACCATGTTAGCCAGGATGGTCTCGATCTCCTGACCTCGTGATCCGCACGCCTCGGCCTCCCAAAGTGCCTGGGATGAGAAAATTTATTTATAGATTTTTAAAACTTATTTCCAAAGGCCTTCTCCCAAGACACCAAAGTACTTTTTGACATCAAACCCCTCTGTAAAGAGATTTTCTTTATTCTCTTTAAAATAAGTAAAGGTGCTGCCTCCTGTGAAATGCCAACAAAAGGATAAGTTTCATGTGAAGCCAACTCTAAGAAGATGGTACTAAGTATCTTTAGTACTATCTGGAATTTCATATGCAGCCTCCCACAGCATAACCCTCTTCTCAGCTGGTAAGACAATTATAGTTCCTATCTCAAAGAAACACTGTGAACAGATGTTAAGGTCTTTCAGAAATTTAAACTCTCTGACTGCAAGACTTCGGTTTATTAATTGCACGCTAATGGATTCAAAAGCACAGAACTTCCATTTTAACTTGACTTTTATTCTTGCCAGGAGAAAAATACTTTTTCAGGAGAGAGCATAACATCTCATGCCTTAATTCCATGAATTTCATTGTTTAGAAAGCATTTGCACAGGACTTTTCTGGCAACTCCTAGTGTTCTTTGGACAAGTTCACAAGTGTAGAAAGGCATCAATTTATTAAGTATCATAAATTCTCAACTATCCAGCACAGTAAGGAAATGTGGTATTCAAATATTCACATTAAAAAAGTCACCAAACATTAATTATGCCTCAAAAAAAGGATTAAAAAGTCACTCCATTGGTGATTTATGAACAAACATTTTTCTCAACATCATAAAGTATACCTAATAAACCACAATGAACACTGTTTAATCTTCGGATGGTTAAGACGGTTCTTGAAGATTTGTATTATAAACAAGATTTGTCTTGGCAGTCCAGTAACACAACAATTCATAGAGAATTCTAGTTGAAGACATGCCAGGTGACAGCTGACTGTATTATTTCTACTAAAGTATAATTCAGCTTTTAAACAATTCACGTTGGGGCCACACAGCCTGTGTTTGAACCTGGCTCTTCCATTTCCTAGTTGTGGGGTCCTGGGTAATGACTAAAGCTCTCCAAGAATCCTCTCCTCAGTGTAGAAAACTCCTCTGCTGGGGCCGGGCACAGTGGCTCATGCCTGTAATCTCAGCACTTTGGGAGACCAAAGCGGGTGCATCATGAGGTCAGGAGTTCGAGACCAGCTTAGACAACATGATGAAACCCCGTCTCTACTAAAAATATAAAAATTAGCCGGGCATGGTGGCACATGCCTGTAATCCCAGCTACTCGGGAGGCTGAGGCAGGAGAATCGCTTGAACTTGGGAAGCGGAGGTTGCGGTGAGCCGAGATTGTGCCACTGAACTCTAGCCTGGGTGACAGAGCGAGACTCTGTCTAAAACAAACAAACAAACAAAAACAAAAAACAAACAAACCAACAAACCTCCTCTGCTGGAATTCCGGGTTATCTCTCCAACTTCATCAGTGACTTTCGGTGTAAAGTTTAACTTGGCCTCAGTATCTTTCTTTGTAAAGAAGAGAAGGAAGCACCAAAAAAATCTAATAATATGAGATTATTAGGACTCATAGATTGCTATCTATCTTAAATCTGGAAGATAACTGCCAGAGAATTATTTTAAATGTTTGGGAAGAAGAAGGAGGTTAGGGGAAGGGAAGATGGGAGGAACAGAAGGAGAATTAAAAAGAGGCCTTCATAATATACAAGCTACCTCCTTTCCCTTACATCAAAAGTGGCCTCCGTGGCCAGGCGCAGTGGCTCACGCCTGTAATCCCAGCACTTTGGGAGGCTGAGGAGGGTGGATCACCTGAGGTCAGGAGTTCAAGACCAGCCTGGCCAACATAGTGAAACCTTGTCTCTACTAAAAATACAAAAATTATCTGGGCGCAGTGGCGTGTGCCTGTAATCCCAGCTACTCAGGAGGTTGAGGCAGGAAAATCGCTTGAACCCAGGAGGTGGAGGTTGCAGTGAGCTGAGATCGTGCCACTGCACTCCAGTCTGGGCGACAGAGCAAGACTCCATCTCAAAAAAAAAAAAAAAAAAAAAGTTGGCCTCCCTGAAAATAAACAGGTTTATGAGCGCCCTCATGGGGTGGATTAGCTAAATGCCATCCCTAGTACTGGCTGCAGGTTGTTACAGTAGAAATAGATCAATTATTTGAAAAAATAAATAGAATTTTAAAGAAAGTTGTTGTATTCCAGTTGAATTTTTGATGTCTCCTGGTAAATTCTAAATTATCCACATTAAGACCCCTAAATATTTTTGTAATGTTTTAAATAACTCTTGTTCAGTGTTTTTGATGCTTACTGCTTAATTCAGTAATTTGGGAAGTAATTCTGGGACGACCACAAAACCAAAAATCTGCAAGATTTCAACAGATGGTCAGACTGTAAGCATTTAGGAGAACAAAGTCAATTATAACTGTGGTATTCTTAGTACTCTCTAATAACTAGCAGAAATTATTATTAATAGAAAAAAGTAAAAGCTCTTAATTTGTATATTTTTCTTGCCCTATAGGGTTAGCACATAAATAAGGTGACTAATAATGTTACCTTAATGGAAGCAAATGCATATTATATCATGAAACAATATGTAGTTACCTTTCTAATATATGTGTTTTAGGTAACACTAACATGAATTTACACACCTTGCCATGTGTAGACTTCCCAGTGCTTAGTACCGAAAGCAGAGGAAACAGTCCTGCCCATCTGAAACTACTAAAAATACAAAAATTGGGCCGGGCGCGGTGGCTCACGCCTGTAATCCCACCACTTTGGGAGGCTGAGGCGGGCGGATTACGAGGTCAGGAGTTCGAGACCATCCTAGCTAACATGGTGAAACCCCGTCTCTACTAAAAATACAAAAAATTAGCCAGGCGAGGTGGCAGGCACCTGTAGTCCCAGCTACTTGGGAGGTGGAGGCAGGAGAATGGCATGAACCCGGGAGGCAGAGCTTGCAGTGAGCTGAGATCGCACCGCTGCACTCCAGCCTGGGCAACAGAGCAAGACTCCGTCTCAAAAAAAAAAAAAAAAATTAGCTGGGCACAATGGTGCAGTGAGTATATTAGGACTTGTTGATTTGGGTAAAATAAAAACCCTTTATATGATAGACCAACTGTGCTGTAACAAATTACACCAGATGGAAGGTAAAGTATCTCAGAATATTCCAATTGCGTTAAAAATAAGGCTGTAATTGTTTGAAATTAAACTTTTATTTGAAACCTTAGTGGATCCGTAATTGAATGTCTAGAAAACCATGCAACTAAGCCAACTTTCCTGGTGATATAAAGGTGTTACAATGGGGGAAAATATTTTTTAGAACACTTTCCATTTTTTTATCTAAAAAGCTGTATTCCTGTATTTCCTTATATTTAAAATCTGGCAATATCCATTCCCTGAAATACCAAAAATTGGGTCTTTGGCATGACCTACTGACAATTTAGAGAAATGATGAGAGAAGACCAGTTTCAGGTAAGTTTTCAAACCAATATACACTTGGGTGTAAAAAGTTAGTGTAGGTAACAAGTCACGTATATTTTCCTAAATTGATCAGATTATGAATTTCTCTTTTTTTATTATTTGAGACAGGGTCACACTCTGTTGCCCAAGCTGGAGTGCTTTGGCACGATCTCGGCTCACTGCAACCTCCGCCTCCCAGGTTCAAGTGATTCTCCTGCCTCAACCTCCTGAGTAGCTGGGAGTACAGGCGTGCACCACCACGCCCAGCTAATTTTTATATTTTCAGTAGAGATGGGGTTTCACCATGTTGACCAGGCTGGTCTCGAACTCCTGGCCTCAAGTGCTTGGCCTCCCAAAGTGCTGGGATTATAGGCGTGAACCATTGCACCTGGCCCAGATTATGAATTTCTAAAATATATATATATATATATATATATATATATATATATATATATATACACATACATATATATATATATATATTTTAACACTTGGTAGGAGGTTAAGATGATGGCATAACTTGCTTCAAGAAGTCCCATCCCACCCCTTCCCCTCACACTCCCATACTAGAGGCAGTGTCTGTGCCTCTGGAGGAAAAATAAGGCACATCTCAAATCTACATAAACACGGGGCAGGTGGTGAGAGGAGAGATGTATGGTTTCTACTGGTATTGCCCACTCCGAAAATAAATGGATCATTAAAAACTCTGGAAACTCCCAGAAGCGGAATCACAGCTTAGGATGATCATGGAAGTTTTCCTGTTGGAGCAGTAGCTAGCCATGGTCAAGGCGGTCTAGACAGAGAGCAGTGTGGGGCTCCGTAAATACCGCACTGACGGAAAACATTAGCTTCCTGAACTGTACAGGTTATACCCAAATAAGTTAATTCCCTCGGTAGGTCTTGCTTTGCCAGCATATTCACTGTAAAACATGTAACAGACACTTAAAATAGAAATCAAGATTACAGGCAATATTTTGGAAACCAGGTCTTCCTCAAGCTGTGGGAAAATCTGGGTGGCCCAGATTCCTTCCTTTCTTAAAATACGACTGCTTTTCCTCCCACTCTAGAAAAGAGGTGGAAATGTTTACATGGATACATCTGATGTGTTGACACAGCTCTTAGCAATAAGTCCTTCAAAAGGGCGATCTTTTCCTTCAGGTTCTGCAACAAAGCTCTGATTGTCACGGTAAGCTGAAAAGAAAAGAACACATCCTAAGTATTCTAGTCCAGAATGTAGAATCCACAAAATTACATCACGTAAACACTACTTCACGGGCTATGATGCAACCAAGCAAGGGCTGGAAGAGATAGATACTCAGCCCCTCACGACAAACTCAGGGCTGGAAGGAGGCTCAGTGGTGCCCTGGCCCAGCTGCCAACCTACAGCTTGTACCCGCTCCACAACCTGGCCAAGTGGTGAGCCAAGCCAGACTGGAACCCCGATACTGACTAGAAACTGTCAGTGTGCTCTCACCATCAGCTGAATCCTGTCACCTGAGCTTCTACCCCATTGATCCTATGTATCTACCTTGGAACCACGCAGGAAATTGTGTTCCCCGAGTCTTCATTTGAGAGCAAAAACCCACAGTTCTCTGAACCAGGCTTCAAACGACAAAGCATGGAGTCCCATTACCATCCCCACCAGGCTCTCTGAACAACTGGTAAAATTTATAACCCAATGAAACGTTTTACGGCAATGTGTTCTTTTTATGCAAGAGGAATGCTAACCACACATGACTCTTTTCCCAGGAGGGTGCGCATTTTCTCCAATCATCCTACAGGAAATTTTTGTCCGTGACTCTAACCTGTTACATTAAAGGATGGAGAAGAGGGCGAGAAGAGAGTCTCTCAGGAATTTGGAAATGTGAAAAAACTGCCTGTGTAAGTTAAAACATATTCAACCACGGATGAAATCAGACATATGTTAAAAACACAGAATACCACAGGTTTCCTTTGCTACCTTGTCAAAAGCAGCAATTATATAACTCAAGCGGACTCCCTCCTTGGATTTGCAGAATCACACCAAGGAAAACCAGCCAGTGTGTCAGAGACTGGCCCAGACTGCACACATCCAGCAGCCCTCCAAGGCACCAGCAGCCAAGAAAAGTCTAACCTGAACTATCCCCATACCCCTGGGAACCAAGGAACAATCACCTACAATGTTGTGGGGAAACACCAAGGAAAGCAGATCTCTCTACACTCAAAGAGAAAAGAGCGGCCGGGCGCGGTGGCTCACGCCTGTAATCCCAGCACTTTGGGAGGCCGAGGAGGGTGGATCACAAGGTCAGGAGATCCAGACGACGGTGAAACCCCGTCTCTACTAAAAATACAAAAAATTAGCTGGGCGCGGTGGCGGGCGCCTGTAGTCCCAGCTACGCGGGAGGCTGAGGCAGGAGAACGGCGTGAACCCTGGAGGCGGAGCTTGCAGTGAGCCGAGATCGCGCCACTGCACTCCAGCCTGGGCGACAGAGCGAGACTCCGTCTCAAAAAAAAAAAAAAGATAAAAGGGCAAAACAAGCAAACAAAAAGGCGCCACACACACCAGGCCTACGAAGAGGAGTCCACAAAATCAAAGACAAAAGCATTTGGGAGATGAAAGACGGAGTATGTAGCCATTAAAAATTATGGCTCAAATCTCTATTTGTTCACATAGAAAGATATCCATCACAGCTTATGAAAAAAACATCAAGTCATAAAATAAAATATCACCCAAACAGAGAAAAAACAACCCAGGAACTAAATACAAACATTGAAACCATGAAAGCACCATGGTTCTATCTAAGTAGTGGGATTTTCTAATATTTTATAAGAAAATGATCACTTTTGTAATCAGGAAAAAATGTCATTATCATAATTAAAGACACTTTCTAGAGCACAAAAAAAGATGGAAAGCCTAATTCACATTTTAAGCTACCATAACCTGGGTAACAAGCACTGACAGAGATAACCACATGTCAATCTTACTTAGGAATTATAAATGTAAAAATCTTTTCAAAAAATATTAGCAAAGCAAATTCAGAATTACATTAAAAAGGACCATATACTATCAACAAGTAGAAATTATTCTAGTAATTTAAGAACAGTTTGATGTTAGAAAAATCTAGTAATAAAGCTCATGGTGTTAATAATTAAAAACAGAATAAACATATGATTAGTACAGTACAGGGGAAATTATAAACAAAAGAAACACAAAAAAGAAAGAAAAACTAAGAATAGAACACTACTGCCTTAACTACAATATTATTTAACTTTGCTCTAGAAGTTCTAACCAATACAATAAGAAAAATTAAAGAAAAATACAAGGACTACAAGGAAAGATGAGATTATTATTATTTGCAGATTGATAATAGTCTACTTGGAAGAGTTAAGAGAATCAACTGAAAGATTATTATTATTTTATATATATATATATATATATATATATTTTTTTTTTTTTTTTTTTTGAGACAGAGTCTTGCTCTGTTGCCCAGGCTGGAGTGCAATGGAGTGATCTCAGCTCACTACAACCTCCGCCTCCCGTTTTAAGCGAGTCTCCTGCCTCAGCCTCCTGAGTAGCTGGGACTACAGGCACCCACCACCATGCCCAGCTAATTTTTGTATTTTTAGTAGAGACAGAGTTTCACCATATTGGTCAGGCTGGTCTCGAACTCCTGACCTCAGGTGATCCACCCACCTCAGCCTCCCAAAATGCTGGGATTACAGGCATGAGCCACCGCGCCCAGACTGAAAGATTATTAAAAACAGTAGAGGCCGGGCTGAAAGACTATTAAAAACAGTAGAGGCCAGGTGTGGTGGCTCACACCTGTAATCACAGCACTTTGGGAGGCAGAGGTGGGAGAATCACGAGGTCAGGAGTTCAAAACCAGCCTGGCCAACATGGTGAAACCCTGTCACTACTAAAAATACAAAAATTAGCTGGGCATGGTGGTGCGCACCTGTAATCTCAGTTACTGGGGAGGCTGAGGCAGGAGAATGGCTTGAACCCAGGAAGCGGAGGTTGCAGTGAGCAAAGATGATGCCACTGTATTCCAGCCTGGGCGACAGAGCAAGACTCCATCTCAAAAAAAAAAAAAAAAAACGGTAGAAGAATTCAATATGGTCATTAGTCATAAAGTGAAAAAAAATCAAGGGCATTCCTAAATTTAAGTAATACCTAGGGAGAGTTTTTTAAATTGTTATTTTAAAACTTCATTAACAATACCAACAAAATCTAAAAAATATCTAGCACAGTGCCTGGCACATAGTTAACTGTGCAATAAATACTGCTGAAGAAACAAAAGGAAACGCTCAATATTGTGAAAATGTAAGTTTTCCCCAATTTAAATCTATAAACATACATGTCTACTTGAAATTCCATTTGGAATTCTTTTATTGCAGAAGAGGTGATAATTAAGGCACAGCACAGTTTGGTTTTTTTTTTTTTAAATGAAGTTTTAGAAAATTACTCTGACAGAAGGATAAATGAAGGAAAATAAAAACCATGAATATGTATAATGTTCATAGGGGCCTTAATCAGATATAAAGTGATTACAAAAAACTACAATAGCTGATGCTGGCAATCACCAACAGCTTCAGTAGTGCAACATAACAAATGGCCCAGAAACAATGTAGCTGTATAAAAATCCAGTGAATTAAATATGAACTATTTCATATGAGGGAAAGAAATTCATAATTTAACAAATGGGGAAAAAATAAAATTAGATAGCTATGACACACCAAAGTAAACACCAAGTATTTCAAAGATTTACACACACAAAACAAAATAACAGAAAAAAAGCTTAAGGAAAATTTACATAATTAAGTATTTATAAAACCTCTGCATGTAAAAGGCCTTTTTAAGCATGATATCCCCTCCCCCGTTAGAAAAGATCACCAACAAACATGCTGATAATTTCAAATAAAATTTAAAAACCGGTACATGTTTTACAATGTCACTTACAAAATCAAGTTAATAGAGAAAGCATTTATACTAAATATACCAGATCAAAGCTTAATATAGTTAACATATATAAAAAGAAAACTTTGAAATTAAGAAACAAGGCTGAGCACGGTGGGTCACGCTTGTAATCCCAGCACTTTGGGAGGCCAAGGCAGGAGGATCTCTTGAGACCAAGAGTTTGAGACCAGCCTAGCCAACATGGTGAAACCTCATCTCTACTAAAAATACAATAATTAGCCAGGCGTGGTGGCGGGTGCCTGTAATCCCAGCTACTTGGGACGCTGTGGCAGGAGAATCGCTTGAACCTGGGAGGCTCGGAGGTTGCAGTGAGCCGAGATTGTGCCATTGCACTCCAGCCTAGGCAACAAAAGCAAAACTCCATCTGGCCAAAAAAAAAAAAAAAAAAAAAAGAATAGATATTCAAGACTTAATAAAAAATGCATATTAAACTACTGTAACATAGTATTTTTACCTAGTAGAGATTTTTTTAAAAGATAATCAAAATTGGTGTAGAAATGTCATTCTGCAATATATGTGTTCAAAAGGCTTAAAATGTTATACAACCCAAATCCAGAAAGTCTACATTGAAGAATTTATTTCAACATGGGCAATAATTTGGCTATACTGAAAAATCATTTGTAATTAGAAAGAATCTAACTGTCCAAGAAGATGACACTAGTTAAATAGATAGCAGCCCTTCGTGTAAAAGATGAAACCATATATTTAATAGAAGAAAGCAGGAATAAATTTTTTATAACCTGCAAACAGCAAAAACTTAGATATGACTAAATATATGGAAGCAATTAGATTGACAGCCAACTTCATTTAAAAAAAAAAAAACTTTCGGCCGGGCGCAGTGGCTCACGCCTGTAATCCCAGCACTTTGGGAGGCTGAGGCAGGCGGATCACAAGGTCAGGAGATCGAGATCATCCTGGCTAATACGGTGAAACCCCGTCTCTACTAAAAATACAAAAAAAAATTAGCCGGGCATGGTGGCGGGCGCCTGTAGCCCCAGCTACTTGGGAGGCTGAGGCAGGAGAATGGCGTGAACCCGGGAGGCGGAGCTTGAAGTGAGCCGAGATCGCGCCACCGCACTCCAGCCTGGGCGACAGAGCGAGACTCCGTCTCAGGAAAAAAAAAAAAAAACTTTCACACGACAAAACTACCACAAGCAAGTCAAATGTCAAATGATAAAGGAAAGGAAATAACTACAATTTATCACGAGGAGCTAATCTCCATAATACGTGAGGAGCTCTTAAAAGATCAAGACTAAAAAGGCTAATAATCCAGTAGAAAAATGGGCAAAAGACAAGACAGTTCACAGAAAAAAAAAAAAATATATATATATATATATGGCCCTTAAGCATATGAAAACACACTCCACTTGACTCATTATATGAGAAATACAAATTTAAAACGACACTGAAACACCATTTCTCACTTATGAGGTTAACAAAAATTCAGAAGATTCACACACCCTCTGTTGGCCAGGCTGTGAAGAAACAGAAGTGCTCACACATTGCTGGTGGGGTGGCAAGAGTGACAACCCCTTTGAGGGGGGATTTCACATCAGGTTAAAAAAAAAATTACATATGCCCTGGTTCTGAGAACTCACCTTTAAAAGACACCTATGCACATAATTTTTTTAAAGGACAAGGTTATTTACTGCGGTGTTATTCACAACTCAAGACTGGAAGCAATTTAACTGCCTTTCCTTAGGAGACAGGTTAAATAAAGAATGTTACATCTACGCAATAGAGTACCCATACAGCGCTAAAGAAGAACAAGGAATATGAAATGAAATGTAGAGGTTTCTATATTATTAAGTGAAAAGACCAAGATACAAAAGAGTATCTGTCATTCATTCATTCATCCATTTATTTATTTATTTATTTATTTATTTATTTATTTATTTATTTATTGAGACAGAGTTTCATTCTTGTCACCCAGGATGGAGTGCAGTGGCACGATCTCGGCTCGCTGTAACCTCCGCCTCCTGAGTTCAAGTGATTCTCCTGCCTCAGCCTCCCGAGTAGCTGGGATTACAGGTGCTCGCCACCACACCCGGCTAATGTTTTGTATTTTTAGTAGAGACGGGGTTTCACCATGTTGGCCAGGCTTGTCCCAAACTCCTGACCTCAGGTGATCCACCCGCCTAGGCCTCCCAAAGTGCTGGGATTACAGGCGTGAGTCACCGCGCCTGGCCCGAAAGAGTATCTTTTATATAAAAGGAAAAACATAACACACAGACACACAGAGACACACACATACACACGCATAGAGGCTTATTTCTGCATAAAGTAACACAGGAAGAATAAACCAGAAATTAATGAAAATGGTTATTTAGAAGAAGTAGGTTAAGAAAAGGTAGAAAAGAGAGGAATGGGAACAAGACTTTGAGTGTCACTTTTATATAATTTTGACTTCTGAACAATGTAAATGTTTTACTTATTTAAAATTAAATTAAAAAGTTGGAAAAAGCAACTCCTGAAAATGAATAAAAACAGAAACAAAGGATAACATAAGACAGAAAAAAAAAGAATCAATTATTGCAAAAGTCCTCAAAAAAATACTGGCAAACCGAATCCAGCAGCACATCAAAAAGCTTATCCACCACGATCAAGTAGGCTTTATCCCTGGGATGCAAGGTTGGTTCAACATATGCAAAACAAAAAATGTGTTTCATCACACAAACTGAAATAAGACAAAACTTACATGATTATCTCAATAGAAGCAGGAAAGGCTTTTGATAAAATTCAACACCACTTCACGTTAAAAACACTCAATAAACTAGGTATTCAAGGAACATACCTCAAAATAATAAGAGCCATCTATGACAAACCCACAGCCAACATCATACTGAATGGGCAAAATCTGGCAGCATTCCACTTGAAAACTGGCACAAGACAAGGATGCCCTCTGCTACCACTCCTATTCAACATAGTATTGGAAGTCCTGACCAGGGCAGTTAGGCAGGAGAAAAAGAGGAGAGGAGAGGAGAAAAGAGGTGAGAAAGGAAAGGAAAAAGGAAAGGGAAGGGAGAGAAAGAGAGAAAGGAAGGAAAAGAAAGAAAAGAAAGAGAGAGAGGAAGGAAGGAAGGAAAAGAAAAGGCATCCAAATAGGAAGAGAGGAAATCAAACTATTCCTGTTTGCAGACAACATGATCCTATATCTAGGAAATCTCATACTCCCAGTCCAAAAGCTCATTAAGCTTATAAACAACTTCAGCAAAGTCTCAGGATACAAAATCAAAGTGCAAAACATCACTAACATTCCTGTACACCAACAGTCAAGCCAAGGGCCAAATCAGGAATGCACTCCTATTTACAATTGCCAACAGAAAATAAAATACCTAGGAAGACAGCTAACCATGAGGTAAAGATCTCTACAAGAAGAACTACAAAACACTGCTCAAAGAAATCAGAGATGACACAAACAAATGGAAAAACATTCCATGCTCATGGACAGCAAGAAGCAATATCGTTAAAATGGCCATACTGCCCAAAGCAATTTATAGATTCAATGCCATTCCTATTAAACTACCATTGACATTCTTCACAGAACTAGAAAAAAGTATTTTAAAATTCATATGGAACCAAAAAAGAGCCCAAATAGCCAAGGCAATCCTAAGCAAAAAGAACAAAGCTGGGCCGGGCGCAGTGGCTCATGCCTGTAATCCCAGGACTTTGGGAAGCCAAGGCGGGAGGATCATCTGAGGTCAGGAGTTCGAGATCAACCTGGCCAACATGACAAGAGCCCATCTCTACTAAAACTACAAAAATTAGCTGGAAGTGGTGGCTCATGCCTGTAATCCCAGCTACCTGGGAGGCTGAGGCACGGGAATCACTTGAACCCGAGAGGCAGAGGTTGCAGTGAGCCAGGATCGTGCCACTGCACTCCAGCATGGGCGACAGAGCAAGACTCTGTCTCAAAAAGAAATAATAAAATAAAAATAACATAGCTGGAAACATCATGCTACCCAACTTCAAACTATACTACAGGGCTACAGTAACCAAAACAGACATAGACCAATGGAACAGAATAGAGAACTCAGTTGACCAGGCACAGTGGCTCACGCCTATAATCCCAGCACTTTGGGAGGCCGAGGCGGGCAGATCACTTGAGGTCAGGATTTCGAGACCAGCCTGGCCAACATGGCGAAACCCTCTCTCTAATAAAAATACAAAAATTAGCTGGGCATGGTGGCACACACCTGTAATCCCAGCTACTCGGGTAGCTGAGATGCAAGAATCACTTGAAGCCAGAAGGGAGAGGTTGCAGTGAGCTGAGATCATGTCACTGCACTCCAGCCTAGGTGAGAAGAAACACCGTCTCAAAAAAAAAAAAAAAAAAAAAATAGAGTACCCAGAAATAAGGCCACACGTACAACTATCCGAGCTTTGACAAAGCTGACAAAAACAAGCAATGGGGGAAGGATTCCCTATTCAATAAGTGGTGCTGGGATAACTGGCTACCACGTGCAGAAGATAGAAATTGAACTCCTTCCTTACACCACATGCAAAAATTAACTTCAGATGGATTAAAGACTTAACTGTAAAACCTAAATCTATAAAAACCCTGGAAGACAACCTAGGCAATACTATTCTGGACATAAGAACAGGCAAAGATTTCAGGACAAAGACATCAAAAGCAATTGCAACAAAAGCAAAAATTGACAAATAGGATCTAATCAACTAAAGAGCTTCTGCACAGAAAAGGAAACTATCCACAGAGTGAACAAACAACCTACACATTGTGAGAAAATATTTGCAAGCTATCCATCTGACAAAGATCTAATAGCCAGTATCTATAAGGAACTTAAGCAAATTTACAAGAAAAATCCACCCCATTAAAAAGCAGACAAAGGACACGAATAGACACTTTTCAAAGGAAGACAGGCATGCTGCCAAAAAAAACAGGAAAAAAAGCTCAACATCACTGATCATTAGAGAGGTGCAAATCGAAACCACAATGAGATACCATCTCACACCACTCAGCATGGTTATTACTAAAAAGTCAAAAAATAACAGATGCTCGGGAGGTTGCAGAGCAAAAGGAACACTTATACACTGTTAGTGGGAGTGTAAATCAGTTCAGTCATTGTGGAAGACGGTGTGGCAATTCCTCAACGTACTAAAAACAGAAATACTATTTGATTCAGCAATCCCGTTATTGGGTATATCCCCGAAGGAATAGAAATCATTCTTCCATAAAGACACATGCATGTGGCCAGGTGGGGTGGCTCACACCTGTAATCTCAGCACTTCGGGAGGCCGAGGTGGGTGGATCACCTGAGGTCAGGTGTTCGAGACAAGCCTGGCCAACATGGCGAAACCCCATCTCTACTAAAAATACAAAAATTAGCCAGGCATGGTGGCAGGCACTTGTAATCCCAGCTACTCTGGAGGCTGGGGCAGGAGAATGGCTTGAACCTGGGAGGCAGAGGATGCAGTGAGCCGAGATTGCACCACTGCACTCCAGCCTGGGCAACAAGAGCAAAACTCCGTCTCGAAAAAAAAAGAGAAAAAAAGAGACACATGCATGTGTATGTTCACTGCAGCACTATTCACAATAACAAAAGACATAGAATCAACCTGATGCCCACCAATGGTAGACCAGACAGAGAAAATGTGGTACATATACACTATGGAATATTATGCCGCCATAAAAAAGATCGAGATCATGTCCTTTGCAGGAACATGAATGGAGCTGAAGGCCATTATCCTTAGCAAACTAATGCAGGAACAGAAAACCAAATACCGCATGTTCTCACATTCTGTAGGTTGTTTGTTCACTCTGTTGATATAAGAGAGAGCTAACTGGTGAGAACATATGGATACATAGGGGGACATGACACACACTGGGGCCTAGCAGAGGGAGGAAGCTGGAAGGAGGAAGAGGATTAGGAAAAATAGTAAGTGCTAGGCTTCATACCTGGGTGACAAAATAACGTGTACAACAAATCCCCATAACACAAGCTTACCTATACAACAAACCCACATATGTACCCCTGAACTTGAAAGTTAAAAAATAATTCTAATAACTTTGGAACATAATAACCTCAGCATTCTTAGTAGATTAGTCTACACTTAAAAAGACTCAAATTTTGAACTCAGTGTTTGTCGTGGTACCTTATAGTAATTTTGAAACCATTTTCTGTAAACTGTAAAATAGACCAAATGAGTAAAAACATACTGATGCTTTTGGAAACTAGGATTCTCAGTGTGAGAGAAAGAAAATACAAATTTGGAATGTGGAAAATAAGGAAGAAAGGTGTGGTGTTAGATTTGAATCAGAGGCTTCTATTTTCAATCATAGTCACAAGTATAAACTTGTGATTTCACAAAAATCTATTTCTTAGCCAAATCCCACCACTGTTTTTATACAGCCCAAAACTAAAGATGGTTTTTACATTTTTTTCTTTTTTGAGACAGGGTCTCACTCTGTTGCCCAGGCGGGAGTGCAGTGGCACGATCTTAGCTCACTGCAGCCTCCACCTCCCAGGTTCAAGCAATTCTCCTGCCTCAGCCTCCTGAGTAGCTGGACTACAGGTGTGTGCCACCACGCCTGGCTAGGTTTTATATTTTTAGTAGAGATGGGGTTTCCCCATGTTGCCCAGGCTGGTCTCGAATTCTTGACCTCAAGCAATCTGCCCGCCTCAGCCTCCCAAAGTGCTGGGATTACAGGTGTGAGCCACTATGCCTGGCCTGTTTTTACATTTTTAATGTAAAATGTAAAAACTATAACTATTCTTGTGGTGAGAATGGAAACTCAAAGACTTGAAGACATTATCTCTTGGCCTGCAAAGACTAAAAGATTTATTATCTGTAGGAAGTTTACTAACCCCTGAACTAGACTATAAAATTGTTAGAAATATTTAAAGTAAAACAGGAGAACTTAAATGTGTTATGCCTCATTTAGTCTCAATGATTACATCACTACTAACTGGTTGGGTGTTATGTCAATTCAACATATGTAAGCAGATAGATCATCATACACACATGTGCACAGACAGCCTCAAAGAAAGATAGGAGGGTTTTCAGGCCTCAAAACTCAAACAAATCATTGGGTACTAATTCCTTCATGGTATTACCTTTGGTGCCTTTTCACCTTTTCTTTCATATTGATTTCGTTGTTGAATTTTCTCAGCAATTTCTTGGGCAATTTGACAAGTAGAATCGTATGTGGAGAACCTGCACCAAAGTCGTAAAAAGAGAAAATGTTTAAGGTTCTTTTTTTTTGAGACGGAGTCTCGCTCTGTCGCCCAGGCTGGAGTGCAGTGGCACGATCTCAGCTCACTGCAAGCTCTGCCTCCTGGGTTCGCACCATTCTCCTGCCTCAGCCTCCCCAGTAGCTGGGACTACAGGCGCCCGCTATCATGCCTGGCTAATTTTTTGTATTTTTAGTAGAGATGAGGTTTCACCGTGTTAGCCAAGATGGTCTCGATCTCCTGACCTCGTGATCCGCCCCCTCGGCCTCCCAAAGTGCTGGGATTACAGGCGTGAGCCCCTGCACCTGGCCTTAAGGTTCTTTAAAAGAAATTTTTGCATTGTCTAAGTTTGACATTTTCATTCTAGCCAAAGAATTCAAACAGAGGGGAAGAATAATAACATGACCAGTAAAAGCAACATGGACTGAGCGTTATTTACCATGTGCCAGGCACTATTTTGAAGGCTTCGTTAGTAATAACTCACTTAATCAAAACAGGAACGCTATGAAGTGGGTACCATTACCATCTCCAACTCACACATGAGAAAAGGAGGCACAAAGAGTTAGAGTGACTTGCCCAAGTGGTTCTGCCTGCTGCAAACCAAGGCCGTCTGGCCCCAGAGCCGGGGCTCTTAACAACTGTGCTGTTCTGCCAATGAGAAAGCATGTGGGGGGTCTCCGCTGCACTGGGCACTGTTCTGGGCACTGGAGAAGACGGCAGTAAACAGAATGAACACAGTCCCTCTTTCAAGGAGCTCATATTTTAAGGAAAGAAAGTCATAAAACAATTAAATACATAGTATGTCAGGTGTTGATAGGTGCTAAGAAGAAAAACGCAGCAGGATAAAGGGACAGAGAGTGATAAGGAGCTGCTACTTAGGATCAGGTGACACCGAGGCAAGGTGAAGAAGCTGGGCTTGCAGATGCCTGGGGGCGGCTCTAGGGTGCAGGAACAGCAAGTATTGTCTAGCCTAAAACCAAATGCTCCGGGGACAAAGGCCACACACCCACCTGACATCTGAGCTTGCCAGAATTCTCTCAAAACATTTAATAAGCTTCTAGTTGTCATTCAGCAGCGTTGGAGGCTTTGAAGGGTTCACGGTGAACTCCCAATAGCCCCTTATGTTTTGCTTCTCTCAGAGCATTTTTACTTTCTATCATATAGAAAATACTTAAGCAGACCGGATGCGGTGGCTCACGCTTGTAATCCCAGCACTTTGGGAGGCCGAGGCGGGCAGATCATGAGGTCAGAAGTTCGAGACCAGCCTGGCCAACATAGTGAAACCCCGTCTCAACTAAAAATACAAAAAATTAGCCAGGCATGGTGGCGGGTGCCTGTAATCCCAGCTACTTGGGAGGCTGAGGCAGGAGAATCGCTTGAACCCAGGAGGCGAAGGTTGCAGTGAGCTGAGATCACACCATTGCACTCCAGCCCGGCGACACTGTGAGACTCCATCTCAAAAAAACAAACGAACAAAAAAACGAAAATACTTAAGCATGCATACACATTTCATTTCTCCTATCAGACAGTCTGCTCCTAAAAAGCAGAGACTCTGTGGACTAACATGACCAGCATTATCTTCCAGGACCAGTCCATCACAAAATATCAGAAACTCCTGTTGCCCCTAATGTCCTAATTTTTGCTTGAGTAAACAATATATTTTTTAAAACCTTTCAATTCCCACATATCATTTGAACACTGAGGGAACTTGATAAGTGTTTTTTTTTAAATGAAGGAAAATGCGCCCATCAATTCCCTTAGGAATCTTACTAGAATAATTATAGCAATAGTAACAGCTGAGTACCTGACCTGAGCCAGGTCCTATACTAAGAGCTTTACACTGTAAACTTCATAAGGATCCTGAGAGAGGATCCTGAACCACTAACCACTATACTGTAAAGCAGCACCATTCATGTATATATCATATATATATCACACACATTCACATATATCATATATATCACTGATACATATATTCATATATATCACATACCTATCGTTTATATCATATATACTATATATTCGTATATGTCACATGTATATCATTCATATATATATATTCATGTATTTGTGTGTGTAGGGAAAAATAGCAGTGATACAAGAAAACACAGAATTAAGAAAACAGGAGGCTAATAAGGAAAATTGGGTCCTGGTCCAAACTTTGCCACATTTCACTTTTTTTTCCTCCATATTATCATGAAAAGAGGAGCCTAGGTCTGGCTCTGGGGTCCAGACCATACATATAAAAATCATCCACATATGGTAAGTTTTGCCTCCTGCCAAATGTGGGATCTAAGTGGTAAGTACGTCTGGAGTTCAGAGGTGGAAGAGATTACTGCTGACCAAGGCACTCAGATGGAGAGGGTCCATGAGGTTACATCTGGATGACCACGAAGTTAAAGCAGGTCTCTTATTCAGACAGGAGGGAGGAGCACATTCTAGACTTAGTGAAAGACAGGGCGAGCAAAGATGAATGGAAGGAAACGTGCCCGGCACATTTGGCTGCGTGGTGGCCCTGGAAGCCTGTTAAGTATAAAATGGTAGAGATGAGTAGAAGCTAGTTTCTGCAGAGCCTTGAACACCAGTCTAACAAGGTTAGACTTAAAGGAGAATTTCAGAGCCATAGAGAACACTTTTACACACAGAGAGTGGCCCTAAAGAGGTTATGAGAAATGCACACAGCTAGCACAAACTCCCAGGTGTCCTGACTCCAGTCCTTGTGTTGTTATTTTAGCCCTAAAGAGCAATAGTTCTGAAACAAGTTGGAATCACTGGGGAATCTTTAAAAAAATAACAATGCCTGGTCCCAACCTCAGCATTCTGACTCAACTGGTATGGGGTTTGTCCTGGGCGTGCGTGGGGAGCTTTAAAAGCTCTCCAAGTGATTCCAATCTGCGGTAAAGTCCGGGCGGGAACCCTTGGCCTGGGGCAATAGACAACCTCATTACACTATCAAGCACACAGGTGCCTGAAGTACTAGTTTAGAAAAAGTAATTGGGTCGGGGGGTGGCTGAGGCAGGAGAATCGCTGGAACCCGGGAGGCAGAGGTTGCAGTTTGCCGAGATTGTGCCATCGCACTCCAGCCTGGGGGACAAGAGCAAGACTTTGTCTCAAAAAAAAAAAAAAAAAAAAGTAATCTGGGCCGGGCATAGGCGTAGTGGCTCACACCTGTAATCCCAGCACTTTGGGAGGCCAAGACGGGTGATCACCTGAGGTCAGGAGTTCAAGACCAGCCTGGCCAACATGGCAAAACCCCATCTCTACTAAAAATACAAAAATTAGCCGGGCATGGTGGCGGGTGCTTGTAATCCCAGCTACTCGGGAGGCTGAGATAGGAGAATCACTTGAACTCAGGAGGCAGAGGTTGCAGTGAGCCAAGATCATGCCACTGCACTCCAGCCTGGGCGACGGAGCAAGACTCCATCTCAAAATTAAAAAAAAAAAAGGTGTGGAGGGTAGAGATGAAACAAGAATGGCAGAATATTGATAATCACAGAAATTGGGTGGTGAGTATGAAAGGGGCCCATTATACTATTCTAGTTTGTGTATCTTTTACCTTCCAAAATAAAGTTTTTAAAAAGCAATTCAACACAAAGAAGACCATGCTACCAACATAAAAAGTCCAATCAGGATATAAAACTATTAAGGTTTAACTGTAATTTTTCTGGAAATGGTACATCATCAACAAATTAGTTACCCTGGAGGTAAAGCTAATTAACATTAGCAAAGAGCCAGTTCAGAGACAGTGATCATGGGCTCCTTCTGTTAAACAGCGAGCTTACCACTTGCTTTGATAGGCCATTAAAATAGTAACTGCTATATTCCATTGCTAGACACTGAGGGAGGTGCCAATGACCTATGATTTTAGCAACACAAAGGTAAAGCTGTAGTTGAATCTGTTTTTATAGGTTGTTTTTGTTTGTTTGTTTTGTTTTGTTTTGACATGGAGTCTCGCTCTGTCGCCCAGGCTGAAGTGCAGTGGCGCAATCTCGGCTCACTGCAACCTCCACCTCCTGGGTTCAAGTGATTCTCCTGCCTCAGCCTCCTGAGTAGCTGGGATTACAGGTACACACCAACATGCCCAGCTAATTTTTGCGTTTTTAGTAGAGACGGGGTTTCACCATGTTGGTCAGGCTGGTCTCGAACTCCTGACCTTATGATCCGCCTGCCTCAGCCTCCCAAAGTGCTAGGATTACAGGTGTGAGCCACCACACCTGGCCTTTTATAGGTTTTTCAAGTCCCTTCCCATACTCCTTTCTACCCCCCTAATCAGCGACCCATTTTGTGCTTTGGGAGCACAGCTGAGTGTCTCACTGTTTCACTCTCAATAGTCCAATGAGAAAGCCACTTCATCAAACTAATGAAGTATAACAGAAAAAGTCTCAATGCTTTATCAACATTAACTGCGGAAGAAGCTTGGGGTCCAGTGATAGCTTCCACCAATCTAAATAGATAACTGGGGGCCTGTCCCTTATCTTTGACCTTTATTTCCTACTTGATTTGTAAACTGAGGGATTTAGGTTCCAGAAGGTGGAGGGCAACTTAGGAATATGTATTGTAAACCAAAATAAAATTCTAAGCCCACCCCCAACACCCCCCCCCACCCCCGCAACCATCTGAACGGACCCCTACTCTAAGGCAAGGGCATTCCAAAGTTAACCTGAAACACTGGTTCAGGCCATGATGGGAAGAGGGGATCAGACATGCCTCATTATATATCCTCTCCTCCTTTTTGGAATTCAGGAAAAGCCAACCAGCATTAACGTCAATACAGACCTTAAGTCTGATAAGAAACACTTACAATGTATTCTCTCTAAAGCCTGCTACCCAGAGGCTTCATTTGCATAATAAAATCTTGGTCTCCACTACCCCTTATCATAACCCAGACATTCGTTTCTATTGATAATAACTCAACCAATTGCCAATCAGAAAATTTTTCAATCTACTTATGACCTGGAAGCCCCCCACGCCCTTCGAGGTGTCCCTCCCTTCTGGATTGAGCCATCATAAATCTTACATGTATTAATTCATGTATTATTCTCCCTAAATTGTATAAAAGCAAGCTGTTCCCCAACCACCTTGGGCACAGGTCTTCAGAACCTCCTGAGGCTGTGTCATGGGTGCATTCTTAACCTTGGCAAAATAAACTTTCTAAATTGACTGAGACCTGTCTCAGATACTTTGGGGTTCACAGTATCAAGGGCCTTAAAAATGTTTATACCCTTGAGCCCAACAGTTCTATTTCACTTTCAACAGTCTAATGAGAAAGCCACTTAGTCAAACTGATTGAGAATAACAAAAAAAGTATAAATGCTTCACTTTCAACAGTTCTAATTCCTACTTCTAGACAGGGAGCCCAAGGAAATAAGAGATAGAACAAAGGGACTCCCTTTGCAATGATAAAACAAAACAAAACATCAGAAAAACAAAAAACTAATAGGAGAAAAATAAATTATGGTCATTCATGTGATGCATTATTTTGCAACATAAGACAATTATGAGGCCAGGTGCGGTGGCTCACACCTGTAATCCCAGCACTTTGGGAGGCCAAGGCGGGCAGATTGCCTGAGCTCAGGAGTTCAAGATCAGCCTAGGCAACACGGTAAAACCCTGTCTCTACTAAAATACAAAAAATTAGCTGGGCGTGGCTGCGTGCGCCTGTAGTCCCAGCTACTCCAGAGGCTGAGGCAGGAGAGTTGCTTAAGCCCAGGAGGTGGAGGTTGCAGTGAGCCATGATCGCGCCATTGCACTCCAGCCTGGGTGACAGACAGAGCAAGACTCCGTCTCAAAAAAAAAAAAAAGAAGAAAAGAAAGTTATGCTTTCAAAGAATGTCCAATGACATAGAGAAATGCTGTTTATATTATATATATATATAAAAATATAGATTAAAATAACAAATTCATTGTAAAAAAATCATTAATGGCTATTTCCAAATTATAGAGTTAAAGATGCTATTTATTTTCCTTTTTGCAAATTTTCAATATTCTCTAAATTGAATATTCTCTATCAAGGGGTGTATATAACTGTTAAAATTAGGGATTTTGGGGTTTTTTATTTTTTTTTGAGACGGAGTTTCGCTCGTGTTGCCCAGGCTGGAGTGCAATGGCACGATCTCAGCTCACCACAACCTACACCTCCCGGGTTCAAGCGATTCTCCTGCCTCAGTCTCCCGAGTAGCTGGGATTACAGGCATGTACTACCATGCCCGGCTAATTTTGTATTTTTAGTAGAGACGGGGTTTCTCCATGTTGGTCAGGCTGGTCTCGACCTCCCGACCTCAGGTGATCTGCCTGCCTCGGCCTCCCAAAGTACTGGGATTACAGGCGTGAGCCACCACCGCGTCCGGCCTAAAATTAGGTTTAAAAAAGTAAATGCTAAATTAAATAATTGGCCCAAATAACCTAGATTCCAGGTAACTCAACTTTGTTCTTGGAATCCATTCTTCTAATATCCAGGATGTGGGCAACTTAAACAATTATAAACTATATTAGAAATAACAACATAAGACACATATTCCAACAAGAACGTTATAGAGCTGTAATATGTTTTTAATTATTAAGCAGAAAGGTCAAGTCTATGTTCAATAACAATACGTTCCTTGGGATCAAACAATATGTTCCTTGGGATCAAAAGTTGCATCTTTCATCATGCAGTCCTTGGGATTAACTGCTAAATAAATCACCCTTATCAGCTATTGTTTTACTGCAGAAGCTACTGCTAAAGGAAAAGACTTCATGATATTAACTCAAGAAAGTGCAAAATGCCTTATAAACAAGTGCACAATTTCCCTCCCAGGTTCCTGTATCTGGAAGGGCCCCCAAGATCTAGGTCTTAGCCCCAGCTGGTTACTAACTGGCTGGTGGCCATGGATTCTGAACCTCGGTTTCTCCACCTGTGAAATAAGGGGGTTTACCGGGATGGACTGACATGCTACAAAAACGTTATTTCGACTTCACTTTTATAGGAGTCCAGGGAAGCCTGCACCAGCCAGCTAGCTCCAAAACCAGGATGGGCGGGAAATCCCCGCAACGAGATGCAGCCCAGAAAAGCTAAAGGAATATTCAGAGATTTGGCGTAAGTCCTCAGCTCTCCAGCGGACCACCTGGTCTCCTTCCCGGGCCACCCTTGCAAGGACCAAGTGTGGCGGGATGTGGCTGAGCCCCCTCAGTAAAGGAAAGGTCTCGCTGCCCCTCCCCTCATCCCGAAAGGCCACCAGCGGCAATGCGAAGTGATTGCCTGCTCTCCGGAAGCCCGGCCTCCCCGAAGGTCCCTCCACGCACCGCCGCCCTCACCCGGGACTCACCAGGGGTCCGGTGCCATCCTGCAGACTCCGCCCGCCGCTCGGACTCTTCCTGCTCTTAGCAGCTGACTACGGCGGCCCGCGCGGCTCACTCCCCGCAGTTCGTCCCGTGCGCGACCGGAGCCTGGAGTTTGCAAAGTGAGTAGCTAGGGCCTCAGAACTATAATCAGAGAAAGCAAAGCGCTCCCCTGCGGACAGTACACTGGAGCAATCTACTCCCACCAAGAGACGCGAACTGCTAAGCTCAGTTAAAATTGTTAAATAGAAACAAAGCATTTTCCCAGGAAGGTGGGAGCGCTGCAAGACCTCTCTGTAGCAGTTACTTAAAAATTTATCCTGCTTCAAAAACAAAACAATAAACAAAACACTAGATTGCGGTGAGACTTGCACGCTGCGTAAACTCACTACAACCTACTTTAAGTTAACTTTATGATATGTAAATTATACCTCAACGCTTTTTAAAAAATCTTTAAAATTTTTTTCACACTGCTCCAAACAGGGGCCCAAAGAAGTATCAATTATATATATTTTTTATAGCAGCCTTCCTATCAGTCCTGTACGCCTGATTACATATTTTTTAAATGCCATTCATTCGGTGCTTGATTTTAGAGTTACTAAGAAGTCACAGACTCTACACAAGGGGATGGAGGAATTAGTTCTGCGCAGTTAGTGCCATCCCCTAAATTTCCAGAGAAATAGCACAAAAAAAAAGAAGAGGAGTCCCACCCCATCTCTCTTCCAGTCCCCATACCCCTTCATTTCCAAGAATGCTAATGAACTCGAACTCGGCAGGCTGGGTTTCTGCGCGGGCGTGGAGCTGGAGCGCATGCGCTCGTCCGTTACCATAACGACCAGAAGACGCTGCAGCCACTAGGGAGGAGAGCAAAGTAATCAGAACCTCCCAAGGATGGATAACAAAATTTCGCCGGAGGCCCAAGTGGCGGAGCTGGAACTTGACGCCGTGATCGGCTTCAATGGTGAGGCCTCCAGCATCTTTGGGCTGGCTGGTTTAGGAATTCGGAGGACGTGTAGTGCAAACAGGAATAGTGAGACACCGGGGACACCTGAAAGGCAGTGTGGGACAACGGCAGGAGCCCTGGCCAGGGACACGCACAGGAGGACCCGCACAGCCTGACCTGCCCCAAGGCCTTGGAGAGTCACTTCCTCGATCCAAGCCTCAGGGAGTGAGATGGTTTTTACCAGCTCGGACAAGCGCCAGCACCTAAAAGGGACCAAATGCCTCTTCCCCAGGCGGGCCGGATGAGTACGGGTGGTTGTAACCCTTCTCCCACTAGGTCAGCCCTTCCTGGCTCTGAACCCCACGCCGCTCGCAAAGCCCTAGGCTCCTTCGTAACCACACAGAAGGATGCTGTCTGTGTCGGCCCCTGGGACCAGCTAGGAAATCTGCTAAAATCCCAACTGGCGTACCAGTGAGAAAGGGCTGGGAGGGAACGTGTGTTTGAGCAACCCCCTGAGGGGATGTTGTTGGTCCTCTAATCCTAAGGAAGGTTTCTAAATGATGAGGATTTCAGACCAGGACAGAAGGGGAAGGGGACGCCAGGGGGAGCTAAAGCGGAGAGAAAAAGGGACTGGGCCGCTCCGCTGAAATCTTATTTGTGACTGCCTATTGTTTTGAAGATTCTGGGAAGAAAAAGCTGTGGGGTTTTATTGTTCGTTTTGAGGGGTTTTGGTTTTTTGAGGGATGAGAAAACAATGAATTAGATTTTAGGAGAAGCAAAACTTTTCAAAAATGTGTGTTGTGATGCCTGAAAGCTTTAAGAATGTGGATGCAGAACAATCACTGTCTAAAGTTTTAAGCATACTCTAGGACTTAGCTCTTGACTCTTGGTTTAACTTTAACAGTCTCCAATAGAAAGTGAGTGCTTTATACATTTCGGATATCAGATATCTTGAGAGTTGGTTACAAGATCATTGAGAAACAATTGAGCAGCCTACAGTGGGTTGCATAATGTCACTTGTTGAGCCAATGTAGAACCACACACATAGAACTCTGCAACTGAGGCCGGGGGCAGTGGCTCATGCCTGTAATCCCAGCGCTTTGGGAGGCCAAGGCAGGTAGATCACCTGAGGTCAGGAGTTCGAGACCATCCTGTCCAACATGGTGAAATCCCATCTATACTAAAAATACAAAAATTATCCGGGCGTGGTGGTAGGTGCCTGTAATCCCAGCTACTTGAGAGGCTGAGGGAGGAGAATCACTTGAACTTGGGAGGCAGAGGTTGCAGTGAGCCAAGGTCACGCCACTGCACTCCAGCCTGGGGGACAGAGCGAGACTCCGTCTCAAAAAATAAATAAATAAATAAACAAACAAACATACATATTCAACAGGTTATAGGAGGAGCTATGAATACTCATGAAGGTGGTCCCAACACATGTGTATTGAACAAACATTGATGTAATATATCACTCATATTCACCTTGGGATGGAGACCTAACATTTAAATGTATTACAATTAGGTCCTATATGTCAAAAGGCCTTTTCAGGACATGACGGCACGTTAAGTGGGAAGCCTCAGTAAACTGGCCAGAGGTAGTCCGTGGTGAGTGGTCTTCTTGCCAGGAGAACATTACTGAAATCACTCTGTTGTCCAATCAAAATTGTTCTTATGGCGGGTTGAACAGGGCTTCAGTTAGTAAGTGCCTATGAACTGGACAGGTTGCAGTTGTTTTCATATTGCTTATCTCAAGATAAGTGCTTGTTTAGCTGCCAGAGAAAAAGAAAAACCTTGTGGCAGTGTATAGTTTATTTTATTTATTTATTTTGAGACGGTGGAGTCTCGCTCTGTTGTGTAATGGCACAATCTCGGCTCACTGCAACCTCCACCTCCTGGATTCAAGCTATTCTCCTGCCTCAGCCTCCAGAGTAGCTGGGATTATAAGCACCCACCACCACGCCTGGCTAATTTTTGTATTCTTAGTAGAGACGGGGTTTCACCAAGTTGGCCAGACTAGTCTCCAATTCCTGACCTCAGGTGATCCACCCGCCTTGGCCTCCCAAAGTGCTGGGATTACAGGCTTGAGCCACCACACCCAGCCACAGGGTGGAGGGGTGCATGGCCTTAGGTCCTGTTTATAATTTGATATCTTATTGCCACACAGTCTGTCAATCTTATGATCTCTATTTTAACATTAATGCTGATCAGTTGTGTCTAAACCACAAAAGAGAGGGGGTATAATGAGGCATGTCTGACCTCCCATTCCGTCAAGGCTGGGAACTCTGCTTTAAGGTGTTTTGGGGGTCCCTTTGTCCAAAAGGGGATCTGTTCAGTCAGTGGCTGGGGTGGGGCAGCGTGGGGATTGGGGAGCTTATGATTTTATTTTTAGTTTACAAAAGTGATTGAGTTTTCTGTATTTTGTCTTCACTGAAAAATGTTTATTTTAAAAAACTATACTAGCTCTAAAAAAAAGAGGGAGAGAGAGAAAAGACAGAACTTTCATAAGGCTCGGGAGAGAAGATTTTGACTAGGAGTCAGCGGGTAAAGATTGAAGGCAGAATATTTCGGGTTACAGCAATAGCGGGGGGCAGAGGAGGAAAAGTGGAGAGTGCAGGGCCTGGTTGCAGAACGGCAAATAGCTTGGGGTGGCTTCAGTATCAGGGACTGGCAGGATAACACAGGAAAGAGAAGCTGGAATTAGATTTCAGAGGCCTTAAATGCCAAGTGATTGAGTTTAGATTTCAGATGGAAACAAATTAGAAACAAAAGCAAGGCCCCTTTTTTCACTGCAACACTGAAACTCACTATAGTGTTACATTATTCAACTTGAATTTTGTTTTTGAGATGGAGTCTCACCCTGTCTCCCAGGCTGGAGTGCAGTGGTGCGATCTCAGCTCACTGCAACCTCTGCCTCATGGGTTCAAGTGATTCTCCTGCCTCAGCCTCCCAAGTAGCTGGGATTACAGGTATCCACCACCACGCCTGGCTAATTTTTGTATTTTTAATAGACACGGTGTTTCGCCACGTTGGCCAGGCTGGTCTTGAACTCCTGACCTCAGGTGATCCACCCGCCTCGGCCTCCCAAAGTGCTGGGATTACAGGCGTGAGCCACTGCGACTGGCCTTAAACTTGAATTTTAACTTTATGGTATCAATATGTAACTGTACTTGACACTTGTAGGTATTGCATTTTGGCAGGAATTAATTATTTAAGCAAACCAAATATACTTGTGTTAAAAACATTTAATAAAGTTATAGTTATTAAGGGTTTGGTCACATTCATCCATTGACTGGAGTAGGTAGCCCATGATTTTCCTATTATGGTATACAAAGAGTTCTTGTAAACTAAAAACAGCAACAACAACAAAATAGATCAGGAGTCTACAAACTATAGCCCATGGGCCAAATCTGGCCCACTGCCTGTTTTTGTAAATAAAGTTTTATTGGAATGTAGCTATGCCCATTTGTTTATGTATTGTCTATGGCTGCTTTTATACCACACTAGCAGAGATGAGTAGTCTCAAGAGACCATATTGCCCACAAAGCCTAAAATATTTACTCTCTGGACCTTTCTTAAAAAAAAAAAAAAAAAGCCAGACCCTGTAAATAGGTAAATAAATATAAATGGCTATTAGCTCAAAAAGCTTAAAAATGCTATTAAAGTTCATGTGCGGTGGCTCACACCTGTAATCCCAGCACTTTGGGAGGTTGAGGCAGGAAGATTCCTTGAGGCCAGGAGTTTGAGACCAGCCTGGGCAACATGGTGAAACCCTATCTCTATAAAAAATACCAAAAAATAGCCAGGCATGGCGATGCATGCCTGTAGTCCCAGCTATTCGAGAGGCTGAGGTGGGAGGATCACCTGAGCCCGGGAGGTAGAGGCTGCAGTGAGCCATCACTGTACCACTGCACTCCTGCCTGGGCAACAGAGTGAGACCTGGTCTCAAAAAAAAAAAAAAAATGCTGTTAAAGCAGTGATGGTTTTTGCTTCTCAAACTGGCAAAGGCAAAAAAAGAAAAAAAAAGGGTAATATAATAAGGTGAGAATAAGAAATGGTTCTCAATTACTACTGCCGGTATTAATTTTACAACCTTGTTGAAGGCCAGTTTTATAGTATCTATTACAATTCTTAATGAAGATAATCTTTGAGCTTTTAAGAACTTGAATCACTTATTCAAGTTTTCAAAAAATTTACGTGCAATGAAGTTCACTGTGATATTGTCTATAATAGCTGAAACATTGGAAGAAACAACCCAAATATCCATTGGTAAGAAGTTTTAAAAAACTACGTGGCCAGGCGTGGTGGCTCACGCCTGTAATCCCAGCACTTTGGAAGGCCCAGGCGGGTGGATCACGAGGTCAGGAGATGGAAACCATCCTGGCTAACACGGTGAAACCCCGTCTCTACTAAAAATACCAAAAAATTAGCCGGGCGCGGTGGCGGGCACCTGTAGTCCCAGCTACTCGGGAGGCTGAGGCAGGAGAATGGCGTGAACCCGGAAGTGCTGGTTGCACAGCATTGTGAATGCACTAAATGCCACTGAATTGTTCACGTTAAAACAGTTAATTTTATGTTATGTGAATTTCACTCCAATAATTTTTAAAATTATATTCCTTTTGTGCAATTTGATACTGTACAATCCTTAAGAAAAATGGAATAGATGTATATAAACTAATGAGGAAAGATGTCAAAGATATATTAAGTATAAAATGCAATTTGCCATACAGTGTATATGATATGAGCCTATTACAGTTTAAAGTGTACATATGTTTGAGAGAGAGAGAGGGGATAGAGAGAGAGGAGAGGGAGGGAGGGACAGAGGGAGACAGAGAGGGAGGGAAAGAAGGCGAGAGAGAGAGAAAATGGAGTGTGTGTGAGTATGTCTGGAGAAGAGAGCAAAGAATATGAATTGTAGTGGACATGCGTAGTTTTGGTTACTCATATCTGAATACTATTCTATTTGAGAAGTATCCCAAGATAGGTAGGAGCTGGTTCTATTGCTTTAGTGAGAGCCTAAAAGAGGCACATATTTTCTCTCCTAATTCCTTGGCAGCCAATTGAGAGATGTAACATAATTGGCTCAGCCAATCAGACATTCCCACTCCGCAGTTCCACTCTTATAGGAGTGATGCAAAGGAGCATTGAGCGTTGAGCAGTGTGGCCATGAGAGGTCTTTAGTTCGTGTCACTTGGTCTCGCCTTGCTATTAGTTCTGCCCATTTTTCAAGTGTGACCCAAACTTCCTGCCAGTTGTGTGAGCAATATGTATTCCTTCCA